>NC_000020.11:28889218-28890335 GCF_000001405.40 Homo sapiens
TCCACTCCACTCCACTCCCTTCCATTCCATCCCATCGCATTCAACTCCACTCCACTCCACTACAGTACAGTAGACTAAACTACACTCCCTTCCATTCCATTCCATACCACACCACTCCATTCCATTCCACTCCTTTCTTTCGACAGGATCTCACTCTGTCACCCAGGCTGGAGTGCAGTGGAGCAATCTCAGCTGATATTTCACTTCAGCATTCCATTGCATTCCATTCCATTCCATTCCATAACATTCCACTGCACTCCACTCCACTTCACTCCACTCAACTCCATTCCATTCCATCCACTCCATTCCACTATAAACCCCTCCAATCCACTCCACTCCATTCCAAACCATCCCATTACATTCCACTCTATTCCTCTCCACTCCACTCCACTCCACTCTATTCCATTCCATTTCATTCCATTCCTTTCTTTCGACAGGATCTCACTGTGTCACCCAGGCTGGAGTGCAGCAGCAGTATCTCAGCTCACATTTCATTTCACCATTCCATTCCATTCCATTCCATTCCACTCCAATCCTTTCCATTCCATTCCATTCCATTCCATTCCATTCCATTCTGTTACATTCCATTCCACTCCATTCCAGTCCACTCTACTCCATTCCACTCCATTCCATTGAATCCCATTCTATTCCACTCCATTCCACTCCACTCCACTCCAATCCACTCTACTCCAAGACATTCCATTCCATTCCATTCCGTCCCATTCCATTCCACAGCATTCCACTAAACTCTACTCCAATCCACTCCATTCCATTTCATTCCATTCCATTTTATTCCATACCTTTCTTTCGACAGGATCTCACTGTCAAACAGGCTGGAGTGCAGTGGCACAATCTCAGCTCACATTTCATTTCACCATTCCATTCCATTCCATTCTACTCCATTTCCTTCCATTCCACTCCACTCCACTCCACTACATTCCTTTCATTCCACTCCACTCCACTCCACTCCATTGCATCCCATCTCATTCCACACCATTCCAGTCCACTCCACTCCACTCCATTCTATTAGATTATATCCCATTTCATTACACTCCATTCCACTCCACTGCACTCCACTCCACTACACTACACTCCACTACACTACGTTCCATTCCAT
>NC_000020.11:29125793-29129696 GCF_000001405.40 Homo sapiens
AGAATTCTGTGAAACTACTTTCTGATGTTTGCATCCATCTCACAGAGTAGAACCTTTCTTTTGATTGAGCAGTTTTGACACACTCTTTTTGTAGGATCTGCAAGTGGATATTTAGAGCGACTTGAGGCCTATTCTGGGTAGGGAAATTTCTTCAAATAAAAACTACCCAGAAACATTCTGAGAAACTACTTTATGATGTGTTCATTCATCTCACAGAGTAGAACCTTTCTTTGGATTGAGCTGTTTTGAAACAGTCTTTTTTTCGAATCTGCAAGTGGATATTTGGAGCCTTTTGATACCTATAGTGGAGAAGGAAATATCTTCACATAAAAACTATGCAGAAGCATTCTGAGAAACTTCTTTGTGATCTGTGCATTCATCTCACAGTGTTGAATCTTTCTTTTGATACAGAAGTTTAGAAGCACTCTTTTTTTAGAATCCGCAAGTGGATATTTGGAGCCTTTTGAGGCCTATAGTGGAGAAGGAAATATCTTCACATAAAAACTATGCAGAAGCATTCTGAAAAACTTCTTTGTTACGTGTGCATTCATGTCACAGGGTTGAACCTATCTAATGATTGAGCAGTTTTGAAACACTCATTTTGTAGAATCTGCAAGTGGATATTTGGAGCGCTTTGAGACCTTCCGTGGACAAGCTAATGTCTTCACATAAAAACTACACTGAAGATTTCTGA
Organism: Homo sapiens; assembly: GCF_000001405.40. NCBI lineage: Eukaryota > Metazoa > Chordata > Mammalia > Primates > Hominidae > Homo > Homo sapiens. Next base: position 29,126,488 of record NC_000020.11, read on the forward strand.
GGAACATCTTTGTGAATTGTGCACCTAAGTCACAGTGTTGAACCTATCTTTTGATTCAGCAGTTTGGAATCTCTCTTTTTACAGAATCTGAGAGTGGATATTTGGAGCGCTTTGAGGCATACTGTGGAAAATGAAATGTCTTCACACAAAAACTACACAGAAGCATTCAGAGAACCTTCTTTCTGATGAGTGCATTCATCACAGAGTTGAACCTTTGTTTTGATTTAGCAGTTTTGACACAATCTTTCCGTACAATCTGGAAGTGAATATTTGGAGGGCTTTGAGATCTGTTTTGGAGGAGGAGATATCTTCATATAAAAACTACACAGAAGCATTCTGTGAAACTTATTTGCGATGTGTGCATTCAACTCACATTGTTGAAGGTATCTGTTGATTGAGTAGTTTAGAATCTCTGTTTTTGTAGAATCTGCAAGTGAATATTTGGGGCCCTATTTTGCCCTATATTGGAAAAGGAAATATCTTCAAATAGAAACTACACAGAAGCATTCTGAGAAACTACTCTGTGATGCGTGCATTCATCTCACAGGGTACAACCTTTCTTTGGATTGAGCAGTTTTGAAACACTCTTTTTGTAGAATCTGCAAGTGGATATTTAGAGTGATTTGAGGCCTATTGTGGAAAGGGAAATTTCTTCAACTAAAAACTACCCAGAAGCATTCTGAGAAACTTCTTTGTGATCTGTGCATTCATCTCACAGAGTTGGATGTTTCTATTGATACAGCAGTTTTGAAACACTCTTTTTTTAGAATCTGTAAATGGATATTTGGAGTCTTTTCAGGCCTACAGTGTAGAAGGAAATATCTTCACATAAAAACTACACAGAAGCATTCGGCAAAACTTATTTGTGATGTGTGCATTCATCTCACAGAGTTGAATGTCTCTGTTGATTGAGTAGTTTTGAAACACTCTTTTTGTAGAATCTGCAAGTAGATATTTGGAGCTCATTGGGGCCTACTGTGGAAAAACAAATAACTTCTCATAAAAACTACACAGAAGCATTCTGAGAAACACCTTTGTGAGTTGTGCACTGAAGTCACGTTGTTGAACGTATCTTTTGATTCAGCAGTTTTGAATCTCTCTTTTTACAGAATCTGAGAGTGGATATTTGGAGCGCTTTGGGGAGTACTGTTGAAAATGAAATATCTTCACACAAAAACTACACAGAAGCATTCAGAGAAACTTCTTTCTGATGAGAGCATTCATCACAGAGTTGAACCTTTGTTTTGATTTAGCAGTTTTGAGACAATCTTTCCGTAGAATCTGGAAGTAAATATTTGGAGGGCTTTGAGTTCTGTTTTGGAGAAGGAGATATCTTCATATAAAAACTATACAGAAGCATTCTGTGAAACTTATTTGTGATGTGTGCATTCAACCAAAAATGTTGAAAGTATCTGTTGATTGAGCAGATTAGAATCTCTCTTTTTGTAGAATCTGCAAGTGAATATTTGGAGCCCTATTTCGCCCTATAGTGGAAAAGGAAATATCTTCAAATAGAAGCTACACAGAAGCATTCTGACAAACTACTTTGTGATGTGTGCATTCATCTCACAGAGTAGTACCTTTCTTTGGATTGAGCAGTTTTGAAACACTCTTTTTTTAGAATCTGCAAGTGGATATTTAGAGCGATTTGAGGCCTATTGTGGAAAGGGAAATTTCTTCAAATAAAAACTACCCTGAAGCTTTATGAGAAACTTCTTTGTGATCTGTGCATCCATCTCACAGAGTTGAATCTTTCTTTTGATACAGCAGTTTGGAAACACTATTTTTTTAGGATCTACAAGTGGATATTTGGAGCCTTTTGAGGCCTATAGTGGAGAAGGAATTATCTTCACATAAAAACTATGCAGAAGCATTCTGAGAAACTTCTTTGTGATGTGTGCATTCATCTCACAGAGTTGAATGTCTCTGTTGATTGAGCAGTTTTGAAACACTCTTTTTATAGAATCTGCAAGTGGATATTTGGAGTTCATTGGGGCCTGCTGTGGAAAAACAAATATCTTCACATAAAAACTACACAGAAGATTTCTGATAAACACCTTTGTGAGGTGTGCACTGAAGTCACAGTGTTGAACCTATCTTTTGATTCACCAGTTTTGAATCTCTCTTTTTACAGAACCTGCGAGTGGATATTTGGAGCGCTTTGAGGCGTACTGTGGAAAATGAAACATCTTCACACAAAAACTGCACAGAAGCATTCAGAGAACCTTCTTTCTGATGAGTGCATTCATCACAGAGTTGAACCTTTGTTTTGATTTAGCAGTTTTGACACAATCTTTCCGTAGAATCTGGAAGTAAATATTTGGAGGGCTTTGAGTTCTGTTTTGGAGAAGGAGATATCTTCATATAAAAACTATACAGAAGCATTCTGTGAAACTTATTTGTGATGTGTGCATTCAACTCACAATGTTGAACGTATCTGTTGATTGAGCAGATTAGAATCTCTCTTTTTGTAGAATCTGCAAGTGAATATTTGGAGCCCTATTTCGCCCTAGAGTGGAAAAGGAAATATCTTCAAATAGAAACTACACAGAAGAATTCTGCGAAACTACTTTCTGATGTTTGCATCCATCTCACAGAGTAGAACCTTTCTTTTGATTGAGCAGTTTTGACACACTCTTTTTGTAGGATCTGCAAGTGGATATTTAGAGCGACTTGAGGCCTGAGCTGGGTAGGGAAATTTCTTCAAATAAAAACTACCCAGAAGCATTCTGAGCAAACTACTTTATGATGTGTTCATTCATCTCACAGAGTAGAACCTTTCTTTGGATTGAGCTGTTTTGAAACAGTCTTTTTTTCGAATCTGCAAGTGGATATTTGGAGCCTTTTGAGACCTATAGTGGAGAAGGAAATATCTTCACATAAAAACTATGGAGAGCTGGGCGCGGTGGCTCACGCCTGTAATCCCAGCACTTTGGGAGGCCGAGGCGGGCGGATCACGAGGTCAGGAGATCGAGACCATCCTGGCTAACACGGTGAAACCCTGTCTCTACTAAAAAAAAATACAAAAAATTAGCCGGGCGTGGTAGCGGGCGCCTGTAGTCCCAGCTACTCGGGAGGGTGAGGCAGGAGAATGGCGTGAGCCCGGGAGGCGGAGCTTGCAGTGAGCCGAGATCGCGCCTCTGCACTCCAGCCTGGGCGAGAGAGCAAGACTCCGTCTCAAAAAAAAAAAAAAAAAAACTACACAGAAG
>NC_000020.11:29129796-29140726 GCF_000001405.40 Homo sapiens
AGCATTCTGAGAAACTTCTTTGTGATGGCTGCATTCATGTCACAGAGTTGAATGTCTCTGTTGATTGAACAGTTTTGAAACACTCTTTTTGTAGAATGTGGAAGTGGATATTTGGAGCTCATTTGGTCCTACTGTGGAAAAACAAATATCTTCACATAAAAACTACACAGAAGCATTCTGAGAAACTTCTTTGTGATGGGTTCATTCATCTCACAGAGTTGAATGTATCTGTTGATTGAGCAGTTTTGAAACACTGTTTTTGTAGAATCTGCAAGTGGATATTTGGAGCTCATTGGGGACTACTGTGGAAAAACATATATCTTCACATAAAAACTACACAGAAGATTTCTGAGAAACACCTTTGTGAGGTGTGCACTGAAGTCACATTGTTGAACCTATCTTTTGGTTCAGCAGTTTTGAATCTCTCTTTTTACAGAACCTGCGAGTGGATATTTGGAGCGCTTTGAGGCATACTGTGGAAAATGAAATATCTTCACAAAAAAACTACACAGAAGCATTCAGAGAACCTTCTTTCTGATGAGTGCATTCATCACAGAGTTGATCCTTTGTTTTGATTTAGCAGTTTTGAGACAATCTTTCGGTAGAATCTGGAAGTGAATATTTGGAGGGCTTTGAGATCTGTTTTGGAGAAGGAGATATCTTCATATATTAACTACGCAGAAGCATTCTGTGAAACTTATTTGTGATGTGTGCTTTCAACTCATATTGTTGAACGTATCTGTTGATTGAGCAGTTTAGAATCTCTCTTTTTGTAGAATCTGCAAGTGAATATTTGGAGCCCTATTTCGCCCTATAGTGGAAAAGGAAATGTCTTCAAATAGAAACTACACAGAAGCATTCTGAGAAACCACTTTGTGTTGCGTGCATTCATCTCACAGAGTAGAAGCTTTCTTTTGATTGAGCAGTTTTGAAACACTCTTTTTGTAGAATCTGCAAGAATATATTTAGAGCGATTTGAGGCCTATTGTGGAAAGGGAAATTTCTTCAAATAAAAACTACCCAGAAGCATTCTGAGAAACTTCTTTGCGATCTGTGCATTCATCTCACAGAGTTGAATCTTTGTTTTGATACAGCAGTTTTGAAACACTCTTTTTTTAGAATCCGCAAGTGGATATTTGGAGCCTTTTGAGGCCTATAGTGGAGAAGGAAATATCTTCACATAAAAACTATGCAGAAGCATTCTGAGAAACTTCTTTGTGATGGGTGCATTCATCTCACAGAGTTGAATGTCTCTGTTGATTGAGCAGTTTTGAAACACTCTTTTTGTGGAATCTGCAAGTGGATATTTGGAGCTCATTGGGGCCTACTGTGGAAAAACAAATATCTTCACATAAAAACTACACAGAAGATTTCTGAGAAACACCTTTGTGAGTTGTGCACTGAAGTCACAGTGTTGAACCTATCTTTTGATTCAGCAGTTTTGAATCTCTCTTTTTACAGAACCTGCGAGTGGATATTTGGAGCGCTTTGAGGCGTACTGTGGAAAATGAAATATCTTCACACAAAAACTACACAGAAGCATTCAGAGAACCTTCTTTCTGATGAGTGCATTCATCACAGTGTTGAACCTTTGTTTTGATTTAGCTGTTTTGAGACAATCTTTCCGTAGGATCTGGAAGTGAATATTTGTAGGGCTTTAAGATCTGTTTTGGAGAAGGAGATATCTTCATATAAAAACTACACAGAAGCATTCTGTGAAACTTATTTGTGATGTGTGCATTCAACTCACATTGTTGAACGTATCTGTTGATTGAGCAGTTTAGAATCTCTCTTTTTGTAGATACTGCAAGTGAATATTTGGAGCCCTATTTCGCCCTAGAGTGGAAAAGGAAATATCTTCAAATAGAAACCACACAGAAGCATTCTGAGAAACCACTTTGTGATGCGTGCATTCACCTCACAGAGTAGAACCTTTCTTTTGAGTGAGCAGTTTTGAAACACTCTTTTTGTAGAATCTGCAAATGGATATTTAGAGCGATTTGAGGCCTATTGTGGAAAGGGAAATTTCTTCAAATAAAAACTACCCAGAAGCATTCTGAGAAACTACTTTGTGATGTGTGCATTCATCTCACAGAGTAGAACCTTTCTTTGGATTGAGCAGTTTTGAAACACTCTTTTTTTAGAATCTGCAAGTGGATATTTGGAGCCTTTTGAGGCCTATGGTGGAGAAGGAAATATCTTCACATAAAAACTATGCAGAAGCATCCTGAGAAACTTCTTTGTGATCTGTGCATTCATCTAACAGAGTTGAATCTTTCTTTTGACACAGCAGTTTTGAAACACTCTTTTTTCAGAATCTGCAAGTGGATATTTGGAGCCTTTTGAGGCCTATAGTGGAGAAGGAAATATCTTCACATAAAAACTATGCAGAAGATTTCTGAGAAACACCTTTGTGAGTTGTGCACTGAAGTCACAGTGTTGAACCTATCTTTTGATTCAGCAGTTTTGAATCTCTCTTTTTACAGAACCTGCGAGTGGATATTTGTAGCTCATTGGGGCCTACTGTGGAAAAACAAATATCTTCACATAAAAACTACACAGAAGCATTCAGAGAACCTTCTTTCTGATGAGTGCATTCATCACAGAGTTGAACCTTTGTTTTGATTTAGCAGTTTTGACACAATCTTTCCGTACAATCTGGAAGTGAATATTTGGAGGGCTTTGAGTTCTGTTTTGGAGAAGGAGATATCTTCATATCAAAACTACACAGAAGCATTCTGTGAAACTTATTTGCGATGTGTGCATTCAACTCACATTGTTGAAGGTATCTGTTGATTGAGTAGTTTAGAATCTCTCTTTTTGTAGAATCTGCAAGTGAATATTTGGGGCCCTATTTTGCCCTATATTGGAAAAGGAAATATCTTCAAATAGAAACTACACAGAAGCATTCTGAGAAACTACTTTGTGATGCGTGCATTCATCTCACAGGGTACAACCTTTCTTTGGATTGAGCAGTTTTGAAACACTCTTTTTGTAGAATCTGCAAGTGGATATTTAGAGTGATTTGAGGCCTATTGTGGAAAGGGAAATTTCTTCAACTAAAAACTACCCAGAAGCATTCTGAGAAACTTCTTTGTGATCTGTGCATTCATCTCACAGAGTTGGATGTTTGTATTGATATAGCAGTTTTGAAACACTCTTTTTTAGAATCTGTAAATGGATATTTGGAGCCTTTTCAGGCCTACAGTGTAGAAGGAAATATCTTCACATAAAAACTATGCAGAAGCATTCGGCAAAACTTCTTTGTGATGTGTGCATTCATCTCACAGAGTTGAATGTCTCTGTTGATTGAGTAGTTTTGAAACACTCTTTTTGTAGAATCTGCAAGCAGATATTTGGAGTTCATTGGGGCCTACTGTGGAAAACAAATAACTTCTCATAAAAACTACACAGAAGCATTCTGAGAAACACCTTTGTGAGTTGTGCACTGAAGTCACGTTGTTGAACGTATCTTTTGATTCAGCAGTTTTGAATCTCTCTTTTTACAGAATCTGGGAGTGGATATTTGGAGCGCTTTGAGGCGTACTGTGGAAAATGAAATATCTTCACACAAAAACTGCACAGATATATTCTGAGAAACTTCTTTGTGATGTGTGCATTCTTCTCACAGAGTTCTACCTTTATTTTGACTGAGCAGTTTTGAGACTCTTTCCATAGAATCTGGAAGTGAATATTTGGAGGGCTTTGAGATCTATTTTGGAGAAGGAGATATCTTCATATCAAAACTACAAAGAAACATTTTGAGAAACTTCTCTGTGATGTGTGCATTCATATCACAGGGTTGAAACTACCTTTTGATTGAACAGTTTTGAATCTCTCTTTTTGTACCATCTGCAAGTGCATATTTAGAGCCCTTTGAGGCCTATGGTGGAAAATGAACTATCCTCAAATAAAAACTACACAGCAGCATTCTGAGAAACTACTTTGTGATGTGTGCATTCATCTCACAGTTTTAGACGTTTCTTTTGATTGAGCAGTTTTGGAATACTCTTTTTGTAGAATCTGCAAGTGGATATTTGGAGCCCTATGAGCCCTATGGTGGAAGAGGAAATATCTTCAAATACAAAATACACAGAAGCATTCTCAGAAACTTCTTTGTGATCTGTGCATTCATGTCACAGAGTTGAATCTTTCTTTTGATACAGCAGTTTTGAAACGCTATTTTTTTAGAATCTGCAGGTGGATATTTGGAGCCTTTTGAGGCCTATAGTGGAGAAGGAAATATCTTCACATAAAAACTATGCAGAAGCATTCTGAGAAACTTCTTTGTGATGTGTGCATTCATCTCACAGAGTTGAATGTCTCTGTTGATTGAGCAGTTTTGAAACACTCTTTTTATAGAATCTGCAAGTGGATATTTGGAGTTCATTGGGGCCTGCTGTGGAAAAACAAATATCTTCACATAAAAACTACACAGAAGATTTCTGATAAACACCTTTGTGAGTTGTGCACTGAAGTCACAGTGTTGAACCTATCTTTTGATTCACCAGTTTTGAATCTCTCTTTTTACAGAACCTGCGAGTGGATATTTGGAGCGCTTTGAGGCGTACTGTGGAAAATGCAATATCTTCACACAAAAACTGCACAGAAGCATTCAGAGAACCTTCTTTCTGATGAGTGCATTCATCACAGAGTTGAACCTTTGTTTTGATTTAGTAGTTTTGAGACAATCATTCCGTAGAATCTGGAAGTGAATATTTGTAGGGATTTGAGTTGTGTTTTGGAGAAGGAGATATCTTCATATAAAAACTGTACAGAAGCATTCTGTGAAACTTATTTGTGATGTGTGCATTCAACTCACATTGTTGAACGTATCTGTTGATTGAGCAGTTTAGAATCTCTCTTTTTGTAGATTCTGCAAGTGAATATTTGGAACCCTATTTCGCCCTAGAGTGGAAAAGGAAATATCTTCAAATAGAAACTACACAGAAGAATTCTGCGAAACTACTTTCTGATGTTTGCATCCATCTCACAGAGTAGAACCTTTCTTTTGATTGAGCAGTTTTGACACACTCTTTTTGTAGGATCTGCAAGTGGATATTTAGAGCGACTTGAGGCCTATTCTGGGTAGGGAAATTTCTTCAAATAAAAACTACCCAGAAGCATTCTGAGAAACTACTTTATGATGTGTTCATTCATCTCACAGAGTAGAACCTTTCTTTGGATTGAGCTGTTTTGAAACAGTCTTTTTTTCGAATCAGCAAGTGGATATTTGGAGCCTTTTGAGACCTATAGTGGAGAAGGAAATATCTTCACATAAAAACTATGCAGAAGCATTCTGAGAAACTTCTTTGTGATCTGTGCATTCATCTCACAGTGTTGAATCATTCTTTTGATACAGAAGTTTAGAAGCACTCTTTTTTTAGAATCCGCAAGTGGATATTTGGAGCCTTTTGAGGCCTATAGTGGAGAAGGAAATATCTTCACATAAAAACTATGCAGAAGCATTCTGAGAAACTTCTTTGTGATGGGTGCATTCATCTCACAGAGTTGAATGTCTCTGTTGATTGAGCAGTTTTGAAACACTCTTTTTGTAGAATCTGCAAGTGGATATTTGGAGCTCATTGGGGACTACTGTGGAAAAACAAATATCTTCACATAAAAACTACACAGAAGATTTCTGAGGAACATCTTTGTGAATTGTGCACCTAAGTCACAGTGTTGAACCTATCTTTTGATTCAGCAGTTGGAATCTCTGTTTTTACAGAATCTGAGAGTGGATATTTGGAGCGCTTTGAGGCATACTGTGGAAAATGAAATGTCTTCACACAAAAACTACACAGAAGCATTCAGAGAACCTTCTTTCTGATGAGTGCATTCATCACAGAGTTGAACCTTTGTTTTGATTTAGCAGTTTTGACACAATCTTTCCGTACAATCTGGAAGTGAATATTTGGAGGGCTTTGAGATCTGTTTTGGAGGAGGAGATATCTTCATATAAAAACTACACAGAAGCATTCTGTGAAACTTATTTGCGATGTGTGCATTCAACTCACATTGTTGAAGGTATCTGTTGATTGAGCAGTTTAGAATCTCCCTTTTTGTAGAATCTGCAAGTGAATATTTGGGGCCCTATTTTGCCCTATATTGGAAAAGGAAATATCTTCAAATAGAAACTACACAGAAGCATTCTGAGAAACTACTTTGTGATGCGTGCATTCATCTCACAGGGTACAACCTTTCTTTGGATTGAGCAGTTTTGAAACACTCTTTTTGTAGAATCTGCAAGTGGATATTTAGAGTGATTTGAGGCCTACTGTGGAAAGGGAAATTTCTTCAACTAAAAACTACCCAGAAGCATTCTGAGAAACTTCTTTGTGATCTGTGCATTCATCTCACAGAGTTGGATGTTTCTATTGATACAGCAGTTTTGAAACACTCTTTTTTTAGAATCTGTAAATGGATATTTGGAGTCTTTTCAGGCCTACAGTGTAGAAGGAAATATCTTCACATAAAAACTATGCAGAAGCATTCTGAGAAACTTCTTTGTGATGGGTGCATTCATCTCACAGAGCTGAATGTCTCTGTTGATTGAGCAGTTTTGAAACACTCTTTTTGTAGAATCTGCAAGTGGATATTTGGAGCTCATTGGGGCCTACTGTGGAAAATCAAATATCTTCACATAAAAACTACACAGAAGCATTCTGAGAAACACCTTTGTGAGTTGTGCACTGAAGTCACGTTGTTGAACGTATCTTTTGATTCAGCAGTTTTGAATCTCTCTTTTTACAGAATCTGAGAGTGGATATTTGGAGCGCTTTGAGGAGTACTGTTGAAAATGAAATATCTTCACACAAAAACTACACAGAAGCATTCAGAGAAACTTCTTTCTGATGAGAGCATTCATCACAGAGTTGAACCTTTGTTTTGATTTAGCAGTTTTGAGACAATCTTTCCGTAGAATCTGGAAGTAAATATTTGGAGGGCTTTGAGTTCTGTTTTGGAGAAGGAGATATCTTCATATAAAAACTATACAGAAGCATTCTGTGAAACTTATTTGTGATGTGTGCATTCAACCAACAATGTTGAAAGTATCTGTTGATTGAGCAGATTAGAATCTCTCTTTTTGTAGAATCTGCAAGTGAATATTTGGAGCCCTATTTCGCCCTATAGTGGAAAATTAAATATCTTCAAATAGAAGCTACACAGAAGCATTCTGACAAACTACTTTGTGATGTGTGCATTCATCTCACAGAGTAGTACCTTTCTTTGGATTGAGCAGTTTTGAAACACTCTTTTTTTAGAATCTGCAAGTGGATATTTAGAGCGATTTGAGGCCTATTGTGGAAAGGGAAATTTCTTCAAATAAAAACTACCCAGAAGCTTTATGAGAAACTTCTTTGTGATCTGTGCATCCATCTCACAGAGTTGAATCTTTCTTTTGATACAGCAGTTTTGAAACACTATTTTTTTAGGATCTACAAGTGGATATTTGGAGCCTTTTGAGGCCTATAGTGGAGAAGGAAATATCTTCACATAAAAACTATGCAGAAGCATTCGGCGAAACTTCTTTGTGATGGGTGCATTCATCTCACAGAGTTGAATGTCTCTGTTGATTGAGCAGTTTTGAAACACTCTTTTTATAGAATCTGCAAGTGGATATTTGGAGTTCATTGGGGCCTGCTGTGGAAAAACAAATATCTTCACATAAAAACTACACAGAAGCATTCTTATAAACATCTTTGTGAGTTGTGCACTGAAGTCACAGTGTTGAACCTATCTTTTGATTCAGCAGTTTTGAATCTCTCTTTTTACAGAATCTGGGAGTGGATATTTGGAGCGCTTTGAGGCGTACTGTGGAAAATGAAATATCTTCACACAAAAACTGCACAGAAGCATTCAGAGAACCTTCTTTCTGATGAGTGCATTCATCACAGAGTTGAACCTTTGTTTTGATTTAGCAGTTTTGACACAATCTTTCCGTAGAATCTGGAAGTGAATATTTGGAGGGCTTTGAGTTCTCTTTTGGAGAAGGAGATATCTTCATATAAAAACTACACAGAAGCATTCTGTGAAACTTATTTGTGATGTGTGCATTCAACTCATATTGTTGAACGTATCTGTTGATTGAGCAGTTTAGAAACTCCCTTTTTGTAGAATCTGCAAGTGAATATTTGGAGCCCTATTTCACCCTATAGTGGAAAAGGAAATGTCTTCAAATAGAAACTACACAGAAGAATTCTGCGAAACTACTTTCTGATGTTTGCATCCATCTCACAGAGTAGAACCTTTCTTTTGATTGAGCAGTTTTGACACACTCTTTTTGTAGGATCTGCAAGTGGATATTTAGAGCGACTTGAGGCCTATTCTGGGTAGGGAAATTTCTTCAAATAAAAACTACCCAGAAGCATTCTGAGAAACTACTTTATGATGTGTTCATTCATCTCACAGAGTAGAACCTTTCTTTGGATTGAGCTGTTTTGAAACAGTCTTTTTTTCGAATCTGCAAGTGGATATTTGGAGCCTTTTGAGACCTATAGTGGAGAAGGAAATATCTTCACATAAGAACTATGCAGAAGCATTCTGAGAAACTTCTTTGTGATCTGTGCATTCATCTCACAGTGTTGAATCATTCTTTTGATACAGAAGTTTAGAAGCACTCTTTTTTTAGAATCCGCAAGTGGATATTTGGAGCCTTTTGAGGCCTATAGTGGAGAAGGAAATATCTTCACATAAAAACTATGCAGAAGCATTCTGAGAAACTTCTTTGTGATGGGTGCATTCATCTCACAGAGTTGAATGTCTCTGTTGATTGAGCAGTTTTGAAACACTCTTTTTGTAGAATCTGCAAGTGGATATTTGGAGCTCATTGGGGACTACTGTGGAAAAACAAATATCTTCACATAAAAACTACACAGAAGATTTCTGAGGAACATCTTTGTGAATTGTGCACCTAAGTCACAGTGTTGAACCTATCTTTTGATTCAGCAGTTTGGAATCTCTCTTTTTACAGAATCTGAGAGTGGATATTTGGAGCGCTTTGAGGCATACTGTGGAAAATGAAATGTCTTCACACAAAAACTACACAGAAGCATTCAGAGAACCTTCTTTCTGATGAGTGCATTCATCACAGAGTTGAACCTTTGTTTTGATTTAGCAGTTTTGACACAATCCTTCCGTAGAATCTGGAAGTGAATATTTGGAGGGCTTTGAGTTCTCTTTTGGAGAAGGAGATATCTTCATATAAAAACTACACAGAAGCATTCTGTGAAACTTATTTGCGATGTGTGCATTCAACTCACATTGTTGAAGGTATCTGTTGATTGAGTAGTTTAGAATCTCTCTTTTTGTAGAATCTGCAAGTGAATATTTGGGGCCCTATTTTGCCCTATATTGGAAAAGGAAATATCTTCAAATAGAAACTACACAGAAGCATTCTGAGCAAACTACTTTGTGATGTGTGCATTCATCTCACAGGGTACAACCTTTCTTTGGATTGAGCAGTTTTGAAACACTCTTTTTGTAGAATCTGCAAGTGGATATTTAGAGTGATTTGAGGCCTATTGTGGAAAGGGAAATTTCTTCAAATAAAAACTACCCAGAAGCATTCTGAGAAACTTCTTTGTGATCTGTGCATTCATCTCACAGAGTTGGATGTTTCTATTGATACAGCAGTTTTGAAACACTCTTTTTTTAGAATCTGTAAATGGATATTTGGAGTCTTTTCAGGCCTACAGTGTAGAAGGAAATATCTTCACATAAAAACTATGCAGAAGCATTCGGCAAAACTTCTTTGTGATGTGTGCATTCATCTCACAGAGTTGAATGTCTCTGTTGATTGAGTAGTTTTGAAACACTCTTTTTGTAGAATCTGCAAGCAGATATTTGGAGCTCATTGGGGCCTACTGTGGAAAACAAATAACTTCTCATAAAAACTACACAGAAGCATTCTGAGAAACATCTTTGTGAGGTGTGCACTGAAGTCACAGTGTTGAACCTATCTTTTGATTCAGCAGTTTTGAATCTCTCTTTTTGCAGAATCTGCGAGTGGATATTTGGAGCACTTTGAGGCGAACTGTGGAAAATCAAATATCTTCACATAAAAACTACACAGAAGCATTCAGAGAAACTTCTTTCTGATGAGAGCATTCATCGCAGAGTTGAACCTTTGTTTTGATTTAGCAGTTTTGAGACAATCTTTCCGTAGAATCTGGAAGTAAATATTTGGAGGGCTTTGAGTTCTGTTTTGGAGAAGGAGATATCTTCATATAAAAACTATACAGAAGCATTCTGTGAAACTTATTTGTGATGTGTGCATTCAACCAACAATGTTGAAAGTATCTGTTGATTGAGCAGATTAGAATCTCTCTTTTTGTAGAATCTGCAAGTGAATATTTGGAGCCCTATTTCGCCCTATAGTGGAAAAGGAAATATCTTCAAATAGAAGCTACACAGAAGCATTCTGACAAACTACTTTGTGATGTGTGCATTCATCTCACAGAGTAGTACCTTTCTTTGGATTGAGCAGTTTTGAAACACTCTTTTTTTAGAATCTGCAAGTGGATATTTAGAGCGATTTGAGGCCTATTGTGGAAAGGGAAATTTCTTCAACTAAAAACTACCCAGAAGCTTTATGAGAAACTTCTTTGTGATCTGTGCATCCATCTCACAGAGTTGAATCTTTCTTTTGATACAGCAGTTTTGAAACACTATTTTTTTAGGATCTACAAGTGGATATTTGGAGCCTTTTGAGGCCTATAGTGGAGAAGGAAATATCTTCACATAAAAACTATGCAGAAGCATTCTGAGAAACTTCTTTGTGATGTGTGCATTCATCTCACAGAGTTGAATGTCTCTGTTGATTGAGCAGTTTTGAAACACTCTTTTTATAGAATCTGCAAGTGGATATTTGGAGTTCATTGGGGCCTGCTGTGGAAAAACAAATATCTTCACATAAAAACTACACAGA
>NC_000020.11:29140826-29165454 GCF_000001405.40 Homo sapiens
AGGCTGGGCGCGGTGGCTCACGCCTGTAATCCCAGCACTTTGGGAGGCCGAGGCGGGCGGATCACGAGGTCAGGAGATCGAGACCATCCTGGCTAACACGGTGAAACCCTGTCTCTACTAAAAAAAAATACAAAAAATTAGCCGGGCCGTGGTAGCGGGCGCCTGTAGTCCCAGCTACTCGGGAGGGTGAGGCAGGAGAATGGCGTGAGCCCGGGAGGCGGAGCTTGCAGTGAGCCGAGATCGCGCCTCTGCACTCCAGCCTGGGCGAGAGAGCAAGACTCCGCTAAAAAAAAAAAAAGCATTCAGAGAACCTTCTTTCTGATGAGTGCATTCATCACAGAGTTGAACCTTTGTTTTGATTTAGCAGTTTTGACACAATCTTTCCGTACAATCTGGAAGTGAATATTTGGAGGGCTTTGAGTTCTGTTTTGGAGAAGGAGATATCTTCATATAAAAACTACACAGAAGCATTCTGTGAAACTTATTTGTGATGTGTGCTTTCAACTCAAGTTGTTGAACGTATCTGTTGATTGAGCAGTTTAGAATCTCTCTTTTCGTAGAATCTGCAAGTGAATATTTGGAGCCCTATTTCGCCCTAGAGTGGAAAAGGAAATATCTTCAAATAGAAACTACACAGAAGCATTCTGAGAAACTACTTAGTGATGTGTGCATTCATCTCACAGAGTAGAACCTTTCTTTTGATTGAGCAGTTTTGAAACACTCTTTTTGTAGAATCTGAAAGTGGATATTTAGAGCAATTTGAGGCTTATTGTGGAAAGAGAAATATCTTCAAATAAAAACTACCCAGAAGCATTCTGAGAAACTACTTTGTGATGTGTGCATTCATCTCACAGAGTAGAACCTTTCTTTGGATTGAGCAGTTTTGAAACACTCTTTTTTTAGAATCTGCAAGTGGATATTTGGAGCCTTTTGAGGCCTATGGTGGAGAAGGAAATATCTTCACATAAAAACTATGCAGAAGCATCCTGAGAAACTTCTTTGTGATCTGTGCATTCATCTAACAGAGTTGAATCTTTCTTTTGACACAGCAGTTTTGAAACACTCTTTTTTCAGAATCTGCAAGTGGATATTTGGAGCCTTTTGAGGCCTATAGTGGAGAAGGAAATATCTTCACATAAAAACTATGCAGAAGCATTCTGAGAAACTTCTTTGTGAGGTGTGCACTGAAGTCACAGTGTTGAACCTATCTTTTGATTCAGCAGTTTTGAATCTCTCTTTTTACAGAATCTGCGAGTGGATATTTGTAGCTCATTGGGGCCTACTGTGGAAAAACAAATATCTTCACATAAAAACTACACAGATATATTCTGAGAAACTTCTTTGTGATGTGTGCATTCTTCTCACAGAGTTCTACCTTTATTTTGACTGAGCAGTTTTGAGACTCTTTCCATAGAATCTGGAAGTGAATATTTGGAGGGCTTTGAGATCTATTTTGGAGAAGGAGATATCTTCATATCAAAACTACAAAGAAACATTTTGAGAAACTTCTCTGTGATGTGTGCATTCATATCACAGGGTTGAAACTACCTTTTGATTGAACAGTTTTGAATCTCTCTTTTTGTACCATCTGCAAGTGCATATTTAGAGCCCTTTGAGGCCTATGGTGGAAAATGAACTATCCTCAAATAAAAACTACACAGCAGCATTCTGAGAAAGTACTTTGTGATGTGTGCATTCATCTCATACAGTAGAACCTTTCTTTGGATTGAGCAGTTTTGAAACACTCTTTTTTTAGAATCTGCAAGTGGATATTTAGAGCGTTTTGAGGCCTATTGTGGAAAGGGAAATTTCTTCACATAAAAACTACCCAGAAGCATTCTGAGAAACTTCTTTGCGATCTGTGCATTCATCTCACAGAGTTGAATCTTTGTTTTGATACAGCAGTTTTGAAACACTCTTTTTTTAGAATCCGCAAGTGGATATTTGGAGCCTTTTGAGGCCTATAGTGGAGAAGGAAATATCTTCACATAAAAACTACGCAGAAGCATTCTGAGAAACTTCTTTGTGATGGGTGCATTCATCTCACAGAGTTGAATGTCTCTGTTGATTGAGCAGTTTTGAAACACTCTTTTTGTAGAATCTGCAAGTGGATATTTGGAGCTCATTGGGGCCTACTGTGGAAAAACAAATATCTTCACATAAAAACTACACAGAAGATTTCTGAGAAACACCTTTGTGAGTTGTGCACTGAAGTCACAGTGTTGAACCTATCTTTTGATTCAGCAGTTTTGAATCTCTCTTTTTACAGAACCTGCGAGTGGATATTTGGAGCGCTTTGAGGCGTACTGTGGAAAATGAAATATCTTCACACAAAAACTACACAGAAGCATTCAGAGAACCTTCTTTCTGATGAGTGCATTCATCACAGAGTTGAACCTTTGTTTTGATTTAGCAGTTTTGACACAATCTTTCCGTACAATCTGGAAGTGAATATTTGGAGGGCTTTGAGTTCTGTTTTGGAGAAGGAGATATCTTCATATAAAAACTACACAGAAGCATTCTGTGAAACTTATTTGTGATGTGTGCTTTCAACTCAAGTTGTTGAACGTATCTGTTGATTGAGCAGTTTAGGATCTCTCTTTTCGTAGAATCTGCAAGTGAATATTTGGAGCCCTATTTCGCCCTAGAGTGGAAAAGGAAATATCTTCAAATAGAAACTACACAGAAGCATTCTGAGAAACCACTTTGTGATGCGTGCATTCACCTCACAGAGTAGAACCTTTCTTTTGATTGAGCAGTTTTGAAACACTCTTTTTGTAGAATCTGCAAATGGATATTTAGAGCGATTTGAGGCCTATTGTGGAAAGGGAAATTTCTTCAAATAAAAACTACCCAGAAGCATTCTGAGAAACTACTTTGTGATGTGTGCATTCATCTCACAGAGTAGAACCTTTCTTTGGATTGAGCAGTTTTGAAACACTCTTTTTTTAGAATCTGCAAGTGGATATTTGGAGCCTTTTGAGGCCTATGGTGGAGAAGGAAATATCTTCACATAAAAACTATGCAGAAGCATCCTGAGAAACTTCTTTGTGATCTGTGCATTCATCTAACAGAGTTGAATCTTTCTTTTGACACAGCAGTTTTGAAACACTCTTTTTTCAGAATCTGCAAGTGGATATTTGGAGCCTTTTGAGGCCTATAGTGGAGAAGGAAATATCTTCACATAAAAACTATGCAGAAGCATTCTGAGAAACTTCTTTGTGATGTGTGCATTCATCTCACAGAGTTGAATGTCTCTGTTGATTGAGCAGTTTTGAAACACTCTTTTTATAGAATCTGCAAGTGGATATTCGGAGTTCATTGGGGCCTGCTGTGGAAAAACAAATATCTTCACATAAAAACTACACAGAAGATTTCTGAGAAACACTTTTGTGAGGTGTGCACTGAAGTCAGAGTGTTGAACCTATCTTTTGATTCAGCAGTTTTGAATCTCTCTTTTTACAGAACCTGCGAGTGGATATTTGGAGCGCTTTGGGGCTTACTGTGGAAAATGAAATATCTTCACACAAAAACTTCACAGAAGCATTCAGAGAACCTTCTTTCTGATGAGTGCATTCATCACAGAGTTGAACCTTTGTTTTGATTTAGTAGTTTTGAGACAATCATTCCGTAGAATCTGGAAGTGAATATTTGTAGGGATTTGAGTTGTGTTTTGGAGAAGGAGATATCTTCATATAAAAATTGTACAGAAGCATTCTGTGAAACTTATTTGTGATGTGTGCATTCAACTCACATTGTTGAACGTATCTGTTGATTGAGCAGTTTAGAATCTCTCTTTTTGTAGATTCTGCAAGTGAATATTTGGAGCCCTACTTCGCCCTAGAGTGGAAAAGGAAATATCTTCAAATAGAAACTACACAGAAGAATTCTGTGAAACTACTTTCTGATGTTTGCATCCATCTCACAGAGTAGAACCTTTCTTTTGATTGAGCAGTTTTGACACACTCTTTTTGTAGGATCTGCAAGTGGATATTTAGAGCGACTTGAGGCCTATTCTGGGTAGGGAAATTTCTTCAAATAAAAACTACCCAGAAGCATTCTGAGAAACTACTTTATGATGTGTTCATTCATCTCACAGAGTAGAACCTTTCTTTGGATTGAGCTGTTTTGAAACAGTCTTTTTTTCGAATCTGCAAGTGGATATTTGGAGCCTTTTGAGACCTATAGTGGAGAAGGAAATATCTTCACATAAAAACTATGGAGAAGCATTCTGAGAAACTTCTTTGTGATCTGTGCATTCATCTCACAGTGTTGAATCATTCTTTTGATACAGAAGTTTAGAAGCACTCTTTTTTTAGAATCCGCAAGTGGATATTTGGAGCCTTTTGAGGCCTATAGTGGAGAAGGAAATATCTTCACATAAAAACTATGCAGAAGCATTCTGAGAAACTTCTTTGTGATGGGTGCATTCATCTCACAGAGTTGAATGTCTCTGTTGATTGAGCAGTTTTGAAACACTCTTTTTGTAGAATCTGCAAGTGGATATTTGGAGCTCATTGGGGACTACTGTGGAAAAACAAATATCTTCACATAAAAACTACACAGAAGCATTCTGAGAAACTTCTTTGTGATCTGTGCATTCATCTCACAGAGTTGGATGTTTCTATTGATACAGCAGTTTTGAAACACTCTTTTTTTAGAATCTGTAAAAGGATATTTGGAGTCATTTCAGGCCTACAGTGTAGAAGGAAATATCTTCACATAAAAACTACACAGAAGCATTCGGCAAAACTTGTTTGTGATGTGTGCATTCATCTCACAGAGTTGAATGTCTCTGTTGATTGAGCAGTTTTGAAACACTCTTTTTGTAGAATCTGCAAGTGGATATTTGGAGCTCATTGGGGCCTACTGTGGAAAAACAGATAACTTCTCATAAAAACTACACAGAAGCATTCTGAGAAACACCTTTGTGAGTTGTGCACTGAAGTCACGTTGTTGAACGTATCTTTTGATTCAGCAGTTTTGAATCTCTCTTTTTACAGAATCTGAGAGTGGATATTTGGAGGGCTTTGAGGCGTACTGTTGAAAATGAAATATCTTCACACAAAAACTACACAGAAGCATTCAGAGAAACTTCTTTCTGATGAGAGCATTCATCACAGAGTTGAACCTTTGTTTTGATTTAGCAGTTTTGAGACAATCTTTCCGTAGAATCTGGAAGTAAATATTTGGAGGGCTTTGAGTTCTGTTTTGGAGAAGGAGATATCTTCATATAAAAACTATACAGAAGCATTCTGTGAAACTTATTTGCGATGTGTGCATTCAACTCACATTGTTGAAGGTATCTGTTGATTGAGCAGTTTAGAATCTCCCTTTTTGTAGTATCTGCAAGTGAATATTTGGGGCCCTATTTTGCCCTATATTGGAAAAGGAAATATCTTCAAATAGAAGCTACACAGAAGCATTCTGAGAAACTACTTTGTGATGCGTGCATTCATCTCACAGGGTACAACCTTTCTTTGGATTGAGCAGTTTTGAAACACTCTTTTTGTAGAATCTGCAAGTGGATATTTAGAGTGATTTGAGGCCTACTGTGGAAAGGGAAATTTCTTCAACTAAAAACTACCCAGAAGCATTCTGAGAAACTTCTTTGTGATCTGTGCATTCATCTCACAGAGTTGGATGTTTCTATTGATATAGCAGTTTTGAAACACTCTTTTTTTAGAATCTGTAAATGGATATTTGGAGCCTTTTCAGGCCTACAGTGTAGAAGGAAATATCTTCACATAAAAACTATGCAGAAGCATTCGGCAAAACTTATTTGTGATGTGTGCATTCATCTCACAGAGTTGAATGTCTCTGTTGATTGAGTAGTTTTGAAACACTCTTTTTGTAGAATCTGCAAGTAGATATTTGGAGCTCATTGGGGCCTACTGTGGAAAAACAAATAACTTCTCATAAAAACTACACAGAAGCATTCTGAGAAACATCTTTATGAGGTGTGCACTGAAGTCACAGTGTTGAACCTATCTTTTGATTCAGCAGTTTTGAATCTCTCTTTTTGCAGAATCTGCGAGTGGATATTTGGAGCACTTTGAGGCGAACTGTGGAAAATCAAATATCTTCACATAAAAACTACACAGAAGCATTCAGAGAACCTTCTTTCTGATGAGCGCATTCATCACAGAGTTGAACCTTTGTTTTGATTTAGCAGTTTTGAGGCAATCTTTCTGTAGAATCTGGAAGTAAATATTTGGAGGGCTTTGAGTTCTGTTTTGGAGAAGGAGATATCTTCATATACAAACTACACAGAAGCATTCTGTGAAACTTATTTGTGATGTGTGCATTCAACCAACAATGTTGAAAGTATCTGTTGATTGAGCAGATTAGAATCTCTCTTTTTGTAGAATCTGCAAGTGAATATTTGGAGCCCTATTTCGCCCTATAGTGGAAAAGGAAATATCTTCAAATAGAAGCTACACAGAAGCATTCTGAGAAACTACTTTGTCATGTGTGTATTCATCTCACAGAGTAGAACCTTTCTTTTGATTGAGCAGTTTTGAAACACTCTTTTTGTAGAATCTGCAAGTGGATATTTAGAGCGATTTGCGGCCTATTGTGGAAAGGGAAATATCTTCAAATAAAAACTACCCAGAAGCATTCTGAGAAACTTCTTTGTGATCTGTGCATTCATCGCACAGAGTTGAATCTTTCTTTTGATACAGCAGTTTTGAAACACTACTTTTTTGGAATCTGCAAGTGGATATTTGGAGCCTTTTGAGGCCTATAGTGGAGAAGGAAATATCTTCACATAAAAACTACGCAGAAGCATTCTGAGAAACTTCTTTGTGATGTGTGCATTCATCTCACAGAACTGAATGTCTCTGTTGATTGAGCAGTTTTGAAACACTCTTTTTGAAGAATCTGCAAGTGGATATTTGGAGCTCATTGGGGCCTACTGTGGAAAAACAAATATCTTCACATAAGAACTACACAGAAGATTTCTGAGGAACATCTTTTTGAATTGTGCACCTAAGTCACAGTGTTGAACCTATCTTTTGATTCAGCAGTTTGGAATCTCTCTTTTTACAGAATCTGAGAGTGGATATTTGGAGCGCTTTGAGGCATACTGTGGAAAATGAAATGTCTTCACACAAAAACTACACAGAAGCATTCAGAGAACCTTCTTTCTGATGAGTGCATTCATCACAGAGTTGAACCTTTGTTTTGATTTAGCAGTTTTGACACACTATTTCCGTACAATCTGGAAGTGAATATTTGGAGGGCTTTGAGATCTGTTTTGGAGGAGGAGATATCTTCATATAAAAACTACACAGAAGCATTCTGTGAAACTTATTTGCGATGTGTGCATTCAACTCACATTGTTGAAGGTATCTGTTGATTGAGCAGTTTAGAATCTCCCTTTTTGTAGAATCTGCAAGTGAATATTTGGGGCCCTATTTTGCCCTATATTGGAAAAGGAAATATCTTCAAATAGAAACTACACAGAAGCATTCTGAGAAACTACTTTGTGATGCGTGCATTCATCTCACAGGGTACAACCTTTCTTTGGATTGAGCAGTTTTGAAACACTCTTTTTGTAGAATCTGCAAGTGGATATTTAGAGTGATTTGAGGCCTACTGTGGAAAGGGAAATTTCTTCAACTAAAAACTACCCAGAAGCATTCTGAGAAACTTCTTTGTGATCTGTGCATTCATCTCACAGAGTTGGATGTTTCTATTGATACAGCAGTTTTGAAACACTCTTTTTTTAGAATCTGTAAATGGATATTTGGAGTCTTTTCAGGCCTACAGTGTAGAAGGAAATATCTTCACATAAAAACTATGCAGAAGCATTCGGCAAAACTTCTTTGTGATGTGTGCATTCATCTCACAGAGTTGAATGTCTCTGTTGATTGAGCAGTTTTGAAACACTCTTTTTGTAGAATCTGCAAGTGGATATTTGGAGCTCATTGGGGCCTACTGTGGAAAAACAAATAACTTCTCATAAAAACTACACAGAAGCATTCTGTCAACCTTATTTGTGATGTGTGCATTCAGCTCACATTGTTGAACGTATCTTTTGATTCAGCAGTTTTGAATCTTTCTTTTTACAGAATCTGCGAGTGGATATTTGGAGCGCTTTGAGGCCTACTGTGGAAAATGAATTATCTTCACACAAAAACTACACAGAAGCATTCTGAGAAACTACTTTGTGAAGTGTGCATTCACCTCACAGAGTACAACCTTTCTTTTGACTGAGCAGTTTTGAAACATTCTTTCTGTAGAATCTGCAAGTGGATATTTAGAGCAATTTGAGGCCTATTGTGGAAAGGGAAATTTCTTCAAATAAAAACTACCCAGAAGCTTTATGAGAAACTTCTTTGTGATCTGTGCATCCATCTCACAGAGTTGAATCTTTCTTTTGATACAGCAGTTTTGTAACACTATTTTTTTAGAATCTACAAGTGGATATTTGGAACCTTTGAGGCCTATAGTGGGGAAGGAAATATCTTCACATAAAAACTATGCAGAAGTATTCTGAGAAACTTCTTTGTGATGTGTGCATTCATCTCACAGAGTTGAATGTCTCTGTTGATTGAGCAGTTTTGAAACACTCTTTTTATAGAATCTGCAAGTGGATATTTGGAGTTCATTGGGGCCTGCTGTGGAAAAACAAATATCTTCACATAAAAACTACACAGAAGATTTCTGATAAACACCTTTGTGAGTTGTGCACTGAAGTCACAGTGTTGAACCTATCTTTTGATTCACCAGTTTTGAATCTCTCTTTTTACAGAACCTGCGAGTAGATATTTGGAGCGCTTTGAGGCGTACTGTGGAAAATGAAATATCTTCACACAAAAACTGCACAGAAGCATTCAGAGAACCTTCTTTCTGATGAGTGCATTCATCACAGAGTTGAACCTTTGTTTTGATTTAGTAGTTTTGAGACAATCATTCCGTAGAATCTGGAAGTGAATATTTGTAGGGATTTGAGTTGTGTTTTGGAGAAGGAGATATCTTCATATAAAAACTGTACAGAAGCATTCTGTGAAACTTATTTGTGATGTGTGCATTCAACTCACATTGTTAAACGTATCTGTTGATTGAGCAGTTTAGAATCTCTCTTTTTGTAGATTCTGCAAGTGAATATTTGGAGCCCTATTTCGCCCTAGAGTGGAAAAGGAAATATCTTCAAATAGAAACCACACAGAAGAATTCTGCGAAACTACTTTCTGATGTTTGCATCCATCTCACAGTGTAGAACCTTTCTTTTGATTGAGCAGTTTTGACACACTCTTTTTGCAGGATCTGCAAGTGGATATTTAGAGCGACTTGAGGCCTATTCTGGGTAAGGAAATTTCTTCAAATAAAAACTACCCAGAAACATTCTGAGAAACTACTTTATGATGTGTTCATTCATCTCACAGAGTAGAACCTTTCTTTGGATTGAGCTGTTTTGAAACAGTCTTTTTTTCGAATCTGCAAGTGGATATTTGGAGCCTTTTGAGACCTATAGTGGAGAAGGAAATATCTTCACATAAAAACTATGCAGAAGCATTCTGAGAAACTTCTTTGTGATCTGTGCATTCATCTCACAGTGTTGAATCATTCTTTTGATACAGAAGTTTAGAAGCACTCTTTTTTTAGAATCCGCAAGTGGATATTTGGAGCCTTTTGAGGCCTATAGTGGAGAAGGAAATATCTTCACATAAAAACTATGCAGAAGCATTCTGAGAAACTTCTTTGTGATGGGTGCATTCATCTCACAGAGTTGAATGTCTCTGTTGATTGAGCAGTTTTGAAACACTCTTTTTGTAGAATCTGCAAGTGGATATTTGGAGCTCATTGGGGACTACTGTGGAAAAACAAATATCTTCACATAAAAACTACACAGAAGATTTCTGAGGAACATCTTTGTGAATTGTGCACCTAAGTCACAGTGTTGAACCTATCTTTTGATTCAGCAGTTTGGAATCTCTCTTTTTACAGAATCTGAGAGTGGATATTTGGAGCGCTTTGAGGCATACTGTGGAAAATGAAATGTCTTCACACAAAAACTACACAGAAGCATTCAGAGAACCTTCTTTCTGATGAGTGCATTCATCACAGAGTTGAACCTTTGTTTTGATTTAGCCGTTTTGACACAATCTTTCCGTACAATCTGGAAGTGAATATTTGGAGGGCTTTGAGATCTGTTTTGGAGGAGGAGATATCTTCATATAAAAACTACACAGAAGCATTCTGTGAAACTTATTTGCGATGTGTGCATTCAACTCACATTGTTGAAGGTATCTGTTGATTGAGTAGTTTAGAATCTCTCTTTTTGTAGAATCTGCAAGTGAATATTTGGGGCCCTATTTTGCCCTATATTGGAAAAGGAAATATCTTCAAATAGAAACTACACAGAAGCATTCTGAGAAACTACTCTGTGATGCGTGCATTCATCTCACAGGGTACAACCTTTCTTTGGATTGAGCAGTTTTGAAACACTCTTTTTGTAGAATCTGCAAGTGGATATTTAGAGTGATTTGAGGCCTACTGTGGAA
Organism: Homo sapiens; assembly: GCF_000001405.40. Taxonomy (NCBI): domain Eukaryota; kingdom Metazoa; phylum Chordata; class Mammalia; order Primates; family Hominidae; genus Homo; species Homo sapiens. The sequence goes on from NC_000020.11 coordinate 29,151,341, forward strand.
AGGGAAATTTCTTCAACTAAAAACTACCCAGAAGCATTCTGAGAAACTTCTTTGTGATCTGTGCATTCATCTCACAGAGTTGGATGTTTCTATTGATACAGCAGTTTTGAAACACTCTTTTTTTAGAATCTGTAAACGGATATTTGGAGTCTTTTCAGGCCTACAGTGTAGAAGGAAATATCTTCACATAAAAACTATGCAGAAGCATTCGGCAAAACTTATTTGTGATGTGTGCATTCATCTCACAGAGTTGAATGTCTCTGTTGATTGAGTAGTTTTGAAACACTCTTTTTGTAGAATCTGCAAGTAGATATTTGGAGCTCATTGGGGCCTACTGTGGAAAAACAAATAACTTCTCATAAAAACTACACAGAAGCATTCTGAGAAACACCTTTGTGAGTTGTGCACTGAAGTCACGTTGTTGAACGTATCTTTTGATTCAGCAGTTTTGAATCTCTCTTTTTACAGAATCTGAGAGTGGATATTTGGAGCGCTTTGAGGCGTACTGTTGAAAATGAAATACCTTCACACAAAAACTACACAGAAGCATTCAGAGAAACTTCTTTCTGATGAGAGCATTCATCACAGAGTTGAACCTTTGTTTTGATTTAGCAGTTTTGAGACAATCTTTCCGTAGAATCTGGAAGTAAATATTTGGAGGGCTTTGAGTTCTGTTTTGGAGAAGGAGATATCTTCATATAAAAACTATACAGAAGCATTCTGTGAAACTTATTTGTGATGTGTGCATTCAACCAACAATGTTGAAAGTATCTGTTGATTGAGCAGATTAGAATCTCTCTTTTTGTAGAATCTGCAAGTGAATATTTGGAGCCCTATTTCGCCCTATAGTGGAAAAGGAAATATCTTCAAATAGAAGCTACACAGAAGGATTCTGTGAAACTACTTTGTGATGTGTGCATTCATCTTACAGAGTTGAACCTTTCTTTGGATTGAGCAGTTTTCAAACACTCTTTTTGTAGAAACTGTATGGGGATATTTAGAGCGATTTGAGGCCTATTGTGGAAAGGGTAATTTCTTCAAATTAAAACTACCCAGAAGCATTCTGAGAAACTTCTTTGTGATCTGTGCATTTATCTCACAGAGTTGAATCTTTCTTTTGGTACAGCAGATTTAAAACACTCTTTTTTTAGAATCTGCAAGTGGATATTTGGAACCTTTTGAGGCCTATGGTGGAGAAGGAAATATCTTCACATAAAAACTATGCAGAAGCATTCTGAGAAACTTCTTTGTGATGTGTGCATTCATCTCACAGAGTTGAATGTCTCTGTTGATTGAGCAGTTTTGAAACACTCTTTTTGTAGAATCTGCAAGTGGATATTGGGAGCTCATTGGGGCCTACTGTGGAAACACAAATATCTTCACATAAAAACTACACAGAAGATTTCTGAGGAACATCTTTGTGAATTGTGCACCTAAGTCACAGTGTTGAACCTATCTTTTGATTCAGCAGTTTGGAATCTCTCTTTTTACAGAATCTGAGAGTGGATATTTGGAGCGCTTTGAGGCATACTGTGGAAAATGAAATGTCTTCACACTAAAACTACACAGAAGCATTCAGAGAACCTTCTTTCTGATGAGTGCATTCATCACAGAGTTGAACCTTTGTTTTGATTTAGCAGTTTTGACACAATCTTTCCGTACAATCTGGAAGTGAATATTTGGAGGGCTTTGAGTTCTGTTTTGGAGAAGGAGATATCTTCATATAAAAACTACACAGAAGCATTCTGCGAAACTTATTTGTGATGTGTGCATTCAACTCACAGTGTTGAACCTATCTGTTGATTGAGCAGTTTAGAATCTCTCTTTTTGTAGAATCTGCAAGTGAATATTTGGAGCCCTATTTCACCCTATAGTGGAAAAGGAAATATCTTCAAATAGAAACTACACAGAAGCATTCTGAGAAACCACTTTGTGATGCGTGCATTCACCTCACAGAGTAGAACCTTTCTTTTGATTGAGCAGTTTTGAAACACTCTTTTTGTAGAATCTGCAAATGGATATTTAGAGCGATTTGAGGCCTATTGTGGAAAGGGAAATTTCTTCAAATAAAAACTACCCAGAAGCATTCTGAGAAACTACTTTGTGATGTGTGCATTCATCTCACAGAGTAGAACCTTTCTTTGGATTGAGCAGTTTTGAAACACTCTTTTTTTAGAATCTGCAAGTGGATATTTGGAGCCTTTTGAGGCCTATGGTGGAGAAGGAAATATCTTCACATAAAAACTATGCAGAAGCAACCTGAGAAACTTCTTTGTGATCTGTGCATTCATCTAACAGAGTTGAATCTTTCTTTTGACACAGCAGTTTTGAAACACTCTTTTTTCAGAATCTGCAAGTGGATATTTGGAGCCTTTTGAGGCCTATAGTGGAGAAGGAAATATCTTCACATAAAAACTATGCAGAAGCATTCTGAGAAACTTCTTTGTGAGGTGTGCACTGAAGTCACAGTGTTGAACCTATCTTTTGATTCAGCAGTTTTGAATCTCTCTTTTTACAGAATCTGCGAGTGGATATTTGTAGCTCATTGGGGCCTACTGTGGAAAAACAAATATCTTCACATAAAAACTACACAGAAGCATTCAGAGAAACTTCTTTCTGATGAGAGCATTCATCACAGAGTTGAACCTTTGTTTTGATTTAGCAGTTTTGAGACAATCTTTCCGTAGAATCTGGAAGTAAATATTTGGAGGGCTTTGAGTTCTGTTTTGGAGAAGGAGATATCTTCATATAAAAACTATACAGAAGCATTCTGTGAAACTTATTTGTGATGTGTGCATTCAACCAAAAATGTTGAAAGTATCTGTTGATTGAGCAGATTAGAATCTCTCTTTTTGTAGAATCTGCAAGTGAATATTTGGAGCCCTATTTCGCCCTATAGTGGAAAAGGAAATATCTTCAAATAGAAGCTACACAGAAGCATTCTGACAAACTACTTTGTGATGTGTGCATTCATCTCACAGAGTAGTACCTTTCTTTGGATTGAGCAGTTTTGAAACACTCTTTTTTTAGAATCTGCAAGTGGATATTTAGAGCGATTTGAGGCCTATTGTGGAAAGGGAAATTTCTTCAACTAAAAACTACCCAGAAGCTTTATGAGAAACTTCTTTGTGATCTGTGCATCCATCTCACAGAGTTGAATCTTTCTTTTGATACAGCAGTTTTGAAACACTATTTTTTTAGGATCTACAAGTGGATATTTGGAGCCTTTTGAGGCCTATAGTGGAGAAGGAAATATCTTCACATAAAAACTATGCAGAAGCATTCTGAGAAACTTCTTTGTGATGTGTGCATTCATCTCACAGAGTTGAATGTCTCTGTTGATTGAGCAGTTTTGAAACACTCTTTTTATAGAATCTGCAAGTGGATATTTGGAGTTCATTGGGGCCTGCTGTGGAAAAACAAATATCTTCACATAGAAACTACACAGAAGATTTCTGATAAACAACTTTGTGAGTTGTGCACTGAAGTTACAGTGTTGAACCTATCTTTTGATTCACCAGTTTTGAATCTCTCTTTTTACAGAACCTGCGAGTGGATATTTGGAGCGCTTTGAGGCGTAGTGTGGAAAATGCAATATCTTCACACAAAAACTGCACAGAAGCATTCAGAGAACCTTCTTTCTGATGAGTGCATTCATCACAGAGTTGAACCTTTGTTTTGATTTAGTAGTTTTGAGACAATCATTCCGTAGAATCTGGAAGTGAATATTTGTAGGGATTTGAGTTGTGTTTTGGAGAAGGAGATATCTTCATATAAAAACTGTACAGAAGCATTCTGTGAAACTTATTTGTGATGTGTGCATTCAACTCACATTGTTGAACGTATCTGTTGATTGAGCAGTTTAGAATCTCTCTTTTTGTAGATTCTGCAAGTGAATATTTGGAGCCCTATTTCACCCTAGAGTGGAAAAGGAAATATCTTCAAATAGAAACTACACAGAAGAATTCTGCGAAACTACTTTCTGATGTTTGCATCCATCTCACAGAGTAGAACCTTTCTTTTGATTGAGCAGTTTTGACACACTCTTTTTGTAGGATCTGCAAGTGGATATTTAGAGCGACTTGAGGCCTATTCTGGGTAGGGAAATTTCTTCAAATAAAAACTACCCAGAAGCATTCTGAGAAACTACTTTGTGATGTGTGCATTCATCTCACAGAGTAGAACCTTTCTTTGGATTGAGCAGTTTTGAAACACTCTTTTTTTAGAATCTGCAAGTGGATATTTGGAGCCTTTTGAGGCCTATGGTGGAGAAGGAAATATCTTCACATAAAAACTATGCAGAAGCATTCTGAGAAACTTCTTTGTGATCTGTGCATTCATCTCACAGTGTTGAATTTTTCTTTGATACAGCAGTTTTGAAAGACTATTTTTTTAGAATCTGCAAGTGGATATTTGGAGCCTTTTGAGGCCTATAGTGGAGAAGGAAATATCTTCACTTAAAAACTATGCAGAAGAATTCTGAGAAACTTCTTTGTGATGGGTGCATTCATCTCACAGAGTTGAATGTCTCTGGTGATTGAGCAGTTTTGAAACACTCTTTTTGTAGAATCTGCAAGTGGATATTTGGATCTCATTGGGGACTACTGTGGAAAAACAAATATCTTCACATAAAAACTACACAGAAGATTTCTGAGGAACATCTTTGTGAATTGTGCACCTAAGTCACAGTGTTGAACCTATCTTTTGATTCAGCAGTTTGGAATCTCTCTTTTTACAGAATCTGAGAGTGGATATTTGGAGCGCTTTGAGGCATACTGTGGAAAATGAAATGTCTTCACACAAAAACTACACAGAAGCATTCAGAGAACCTTCTTTCTGATGAGTGCATTCATCACAGAGTTGAACCTTTGTTTTGATTTAGCAGTTTTGACACAATCTTTCCGTACAATCTGGAAGTGAATATTTGGAGGGCTTTGAGATCTGTTTTGGAGGAGGAGATATCTTCATATAAAAACTACACAGAAGCATTCTGTGAAACTTATTTGCGATGTGTGCATTCAACTCACATTGTTGAAGGTATCTGTTGATTGAGCAGTTTAGAATCTCCCTTTTTGTAGAATCTGCAAGTGAATATTTGGGGCCCTATTTTGCCCTATATTGGAAAAGGAAATATCTTCAAATAGAAACTACACAGAAGCATTCTGAGAAACTACTCTGTGATGCGTGCATTCATCTCACAGGGTACAACCTTTCTTTGGATTGAGCAGTTTTGAAACACTCTTTTTGTAGAATCTGCAAGTGGATATTTAGAGTGATTTGAGGCCTATTGTGTAAAGGGAAATTTCTTCAACTAAAAACTACCCAGAAGCATTCTGAGAAACTTCTTTGTGATCTGTGCATTCATCTCACAGAGTTGGATGTTTCTATTGATACAGCAGTTTTGAAACACTCTTTTTTTAGAATCTGTAAATGGATATTTGGAGTCTTTTCAGGCCTACAGTGTAGAAGGAAATATCTTCACATAAAAACTATGCAGAAGCATTCGGCAAAACTTGTTTGTGATGTGTGCATTCATCTCACAGAGTTGAATGTCTCTGTTGATTGAGCAGTTTTGAAACACTCTTTTTGTAGAATCTGCAAGTGGATATTTGGAGCTCATTGGGGCCTACTGTGGAAAAACAGATAACTTCTCATAAAAACTACACAGAAGCATTCTGAGAAACATCTTTGTGAGTTGTGCACTGAAGTGACAGTGTTGAACCTATCTTTTGATTCAGCAGTTTTGAGTCTCTCTTTTTACAGAATCTGAGAGTGGATATTTGGAGCGCTTTGAGGCGCACTGTGGAAAATGAAATATCTTCACACAAAAACTACACAGAAGCATTCTGAGAAACATCTTTGTGAGGTGTGCACTGAAGTCACATTGTTGAACCTATGTTTTGATTCAGCAGTTTTGAATCTCTCTTTTTGCAGAATCTGCGAGTGGATATTTGGAGCACTTTGAGGCGTACTGTGGAAAATCAAATATCTTCACATAAAAACTACACAGAAGCATTCAGAGAAACTTCTTTCTGATGAGAGCATTCATCACAGAGTTGAACCTTTGTTTTGATTTAGCAGTTTTGAGACAATCTTTCCGTAGAATCTGGAAGTAAATATTTGGAGGGCTTTGAGTTCTGTTTTGGAGAAGGAGATATCTTCATATAAAAACTATACAGAAGCATTCTGTGAAACTTATTTGTGATGTGTGTATTCAACCAACAATGTTGAAAGTATCTGTTGATTGAGCAGATTAGAATCTCTCTTTTTGTAGAATCTGCAAGTGAATATTTGGAGCCCTATTTCGCCCTATAGTGGAAAAGGAAATATCTTCAAATAGAAGCTACACAGAAGCATTCTGAGCAAACTACTTTGTGATGTGTGCATTCACCTCACAGGAGTACAACCTTTCTTTTGACTGAGCAGTTTTGAAACATTCTTTCTGTAGAATCTGCAAGTGGATATTTAGAGCAATTTGAGGCCTATTGTGGAAAGGGAAATTTCTTCAAATAAAAACTACCCAGAAGCTTTATGAGAAACTTCTTTGTGATCTGTGCATCCATCTCACAGAGTTGAATCTTTCTTTTGATACAGCAGTTTTGTAACACTATTTTTTTAGAATCTACAAGTGGATATTTGGAGCCTTTGAGGCCTATAGTGGGGAAGGAAATATCTTCACATAAAAACTATGCAGAAGCATTCGGCGAAACTTCTTTGTGATGGGTGCATTCATCTCACAGAGTTGAATGTCTCTGTTGATTGAGCAGTTTTGAAACACTCTTTTTATAGAATCTGCAAGTGGATATTTGGAGTTCATTGGGGCCTGCTGTGGAAAAACAAATATCTTCACATAAAAACTACACAGAAGATTTCTGATAAACAACTTTGTGAGTTGTGCACTGAAGTCACAGTGTTGAACCTATCTTTTGATTCACCAGTTTTGAATCTCTCTTTTTACAGAACCTGCGAGTGGATATTTGGAGCGCTTTGAGGCGTACTGTGGAAAATGCAATATCTTCACACAAAAACTGCACAGAAGCATTCAGAGAACCTTCTTTCTGATGAGTGCATTCATCACAGAGTTGAACCTTTGTTTTGATTTAGTAGTTTTGAGACAATCATTCCGTAGAATCTGGAAGTGAATATTTGTAGGGATTTGAGTTGTGTTTTGGAGAAGGAGATATCTTCATATAAAAACTGTACAGAAGCATTCTGTGAAACTTATTTGTGATGTGTGCATTCAACTCACATTGTTGAACGTATCTGTTGATTGAGCAGTTTAGAATCTCTCTTTTTGTAGATTCTGCAAGTGAATATTTGGAGCCCTATTTCGCCCTAGAGTGGAAAAGGAAATATCTTCAAATAGAAACTACACAGAAGAATTCTGCGAAACTACTTTCTGATGTTTGCATCCATCTCACAGAGTAGAACCTTTCTTTTGATTGAGCAGTTTTGACACACTCTTTTTGTAGGATCTGCAAGTGGGTATTTAGAGCGACTTGAGGCCTATTCTGGGTAGGGAAATTTCTTCAAATAAAAACTACCCAGAAGCATTCTGAGAAACTACTTTATGATGTGTTCATTCATCTCACAGAGTAGAACCTTTCTTTGGATTGAGCTGTTTTGAAACAGTCTTTTTTTCGAATCTGCAAGTGGATATTTGGAGCCTTTTGAGACCTATAGTGGAGAAGGAAATATCTTCACATAAGAACTATGCAGAAGCATTCTGAGAAACTTCTTTGTGATCTGTGCATTCATCTCACAGTGTTGAATCATTCTTTTGATACAGAAGTTTAGAAGCACTCTTTTTTTAGAATCCGCAAGTGGATATTTGGAGCCTTTTGAGGCCTATAGTGGAGAAGGAAATATCTTCACATAAAAACTATGCAGAAGCATTCTGAGAAACTTCTTTGTGATGGGTGCATTCATCTCACAGAGTTGAATGTCTCTGTTGATTGAGCAGTTTTGAAACACTCTTTTTGTAGAATCTGCAAGTGGATATTTGGAGCTCATTGGGGACTACTGTGGAAAAAGAAATATCTTCACATAAAAACTACACAGAAGATTTCTGAGGAACATCTTTGTGAATTGTGCACCTAAGTCACAGTGTTGAACCTATCTTTTGATTCAGCAGTTTGGAATCTCTCTTTTTACAGAATCTGAGAGTGGATATTTGGAGCGCTTTGAGGCATACTGTGGAAAATGAAATGTCTTCACACAAAAACTACACAGAAGCATTCAGTAGAACCTTCTTTCTGATGAGTGCATTCACCACAGAGTTGAACCTTTGTTTTGATTTAGCCGTTTTGACACAATCTTTCCGTACAATCTGGAAGTGAATATTTGGAGGGCTTTGAGATCTGTTTTGGAGGAGGAGATATCTTCATATAAAAACTACACAGAAGCATTCTGTGAAACTTATTTGCGATGTGTGCATTCAACTCACATTGTTGAAGGTATCTGTTGATTGAGCAGTTTAGAATCTCCCTTTTTGTAGTATCTGCAAGTGAATATTTGGGGCCCTATTTTGCCCTATATTGGAAAAGGAAATATCTTCAAATAGAAGCTACACAGAAGCATTCTGAGAAACTACTTTGTGATGCGTGCATTCATCTCACAGCGTACAACCTTTCTTTGGATTGAGCAGTTTTGAAACACTCTTTTTGTAGAATCTGCAAGTGGATATTTAGAGTGATTTGAGGCCTATTGTGGAAAGGGAAATTTCTTCAACTAAAAACTACCCAGAAGCATTCTGAGAAACTTCTTTGTGATCTGTGCATTCATCTCACAGAGTTGGATGTTTCTATTGATACAGCAGTTTTGAAACACTCTTTTTTTAGAATCTGTAAATGGATATTTGGAGTCTTTTCAGGCCTACAGTGTAGAAGGAAATATCTTCACATAAAAACTATGCAGAAGCATTCGGCAAAACTTATTTGTGATGTGTGCATTCATCTCACAGAGTTGAATGTCTCTGTTGATTGAGTAGTTTTGAAACACTCTTTTTGTAGAATCTGCAAGTAGATATTTGGAGCTCATTGGGGCCTACTGTGGAAAAACAAATAACTTCTCATAAAAACTACACAGAAGCATTCTGAGAAACACCTTTGTGAGTTGTGCACTGAAGTCACGTTGTTGAACGTATCTTTTGATTCAGCAGTTTTGAATCTCTCTTTTTACAGAATCTGAGAGTGGATATTTGGAGCGCTTTGAGGAGTACTGTTGAAAATGAAATATCTTCACACAAAAACTACACAGAAGCATTCAGAGAAACTTCTTTCTGATGAGAGCATTCATCACAGAGTTGAACCTTTGTTTTGATTTAGCAGTTTTGAGACAATCTTTCCGTAGAATCTGGAAGTAAATATTTGGAGGGCTTTGAGTTCTGTTTTGGAGAAGGAGATATCTTCATATAAAAACTATACAGAAGCATTCTGTGAAACTTATTTGTGATGTGTGCATTCAACCAACAATGTTGAAAGTATCTGTTGATTGAGCAGATTAGAATCTCTCTTTTTGTAGAATCTGCAAGTGAATATTTGGAGCCCTATTTCGCCCTATAGTGGAAAAGGAAATATCTTCAAATAGAAGCTACACAGAAGCATTCTCAGAAACTACTTTGTGATGCGTGCATTCATCCCACAGAGTAGAACCTTTCTTTGGATTGAGCAGTTTTGAAGAACTCTTTTTGTAGAATCTGCAAGTGGATATTTAGAGGGACTTGAGGCCTATTGTGGAAAGGGAAATTTCTTCAAATAAAAACTTCCCAGAAGCATTCTGATAAACTCCTTTGTGATCTGTGCATTCATCACACAGAGTTGAATCTTCCTTTTGATACAGCAGTTTTGAAACACTCTTTTTTTAGTATCTGCAGGTGGATATTTGGGGCATTTTCAGGCCTATAGTGGAGAAGGAAACATCTTCACATAAAAAGTATGCAGAAGCATCCTGAGAAACTTCTTTGTGATGTGTGCATTCATCTCACAGAGTTGAATGTCTCTGTTGATTGAGCAGTTTTGAAACACTCTTTTTGTAGAATCTGCAAGTAGATATTTGGAGTTCATTGGGGCCTACTGTGGAAACACAAATATCTTCACATAAAAACTACACAGAAGATTTCTGATAAACACCTTTGTGAGGTGTGCACTGAAGTCACAGTGTTGAACCTATCTTTTGATTCACCAGTTTTGAATCTCTCTTTTTACAGAACCTGCGAGTGGATATTTGGAGCGCTTTGAGGCGTACTGTGGAAAATGCAATATCTTCACACAAAAACTGCACAGAAGCATTCAGAGAACCTTCTTTGTGATGAGTGCATTCATCACAGAGTTGAACCTTTGTTTTGATTTAGTAGTTTTGAGACAATCATTCCGTAGAATCTGGAAGTGAATATTTGTAGGGATTTGAGTTGTGTTTTGGAGAAGGAGATATCTTAATATAAAAACTGTACAGAAGCATTCTGCGAAACTTATTTGTGATGTGTGCATTCAACTCACAGTGTTGAACCTATCTGTTGATTGAGCAGTTTAGAATCTCTCTTTTTGTAGAATCTGCAAGTGAATATTTGGAGCCCTATTTCGCCCTATAGTGGAAAAGGAAATATCTTCAAATAGAAACTACACAGAAGCATTCTGAGAAACTACTTTGTGATGTGTGTATTCATCTCACCGAGTAGAACCTTTCTTTTGATTGAGCAGTTTTGAAACACTCTTTTTGTAGAATCTGCAAGTGGATATTTAGAGTGATTTGCGGCCTATTGTGGAAAGGGAAATATCTTCAAATAAAAACTACCCAGAAGCATTCTGAGAAACTACTTTGTGATGTGTGCATTCATCTCACAGAGTAGAACCTTTCTTTGGATTGAGCAGTTTTGAAACACTCTTTTTTTAGAATCTGCAAGTGGATATTTGGAGCCTTTTGAGGCCTATGGTGGAGAAGGAAATATCTTCACATAAAAACTATGCAGAAGCATTCTGAGAAACTTCTTTGTGATCTGTGCATTCATCTCACAGTGTTGAATCATTCTTTTGATACAGAAGTTTAGAAGCACTCTTTTTTTAGAATCCGCAAGTGGATATTTGGAGCCTTTTGAGGCCTATAGTGGAGAAGGAAATATCTTCACATAAAAACTATGCAGAAGCATTCTGAGAAACTTCTTTGTGATGGGTGCATTCATCTCACAGGGTTGAATGTCTCTGTTGATTGAGCAGTTTTGAAACACTCTTTTTGTGGAATCTGCAAGTGGATATTTGGAGCTCATTGGGGCCTACTGTGGAAAAACAAATATCTTCACATAAAAACTACACAGAAGATTTCTGAGGAACATCTTTGTGAATTGTGCACCTAAGTCACAGTGTTGAACCTATCTTTTGATTCAGCAGTTTGGAATCTCTCTTTTTACAGAATCTGAGAGTGGATATTTGGAGTGCTTTGAGGCATACTGTGGAAAATGAAATGTCTTCACACAAAAACTACACAGAAGCATTCAGAGAACCTTCTTTCTGATGAGTGCATTCATCACAGAGTTGAACCTTTGTTTTGATTTAGCCGTTTTGACACAATCTTTCCGTACAATCTGGAAGTGAATATTTGGAGGGCTTTGAGATCTGTTTTGGAGGAGGAGATATCTTCATATAAAAACTACACAGAAGCATTCTGTGAAACTTATTTGCGATGTGTGCATTCAACTCACATTGTTGAAGGTATCTGTTGATTGAGCAGTTTAGAATCTCCCTTTTTGTAGAATCTGCAAGTGAATATTTGGGGCCCTATTTTGCCCTATATTGGAAAAGGAAATATCTTCAAATAGAAACTACACAGAAGCATTCTGAGAAACTACTCTGTGATGCGTGCATTCATCTCACAGGGTATAACCTTTCTTTGGATTGAGCAGTTTTGAAACACTCTTTTTGTAGAATCTGCAAGTGGATATTTAGAGTGATTTGAGGATTATTGTGGAAAGGGAAATTTCTTCAACTAAAAACTACCCAGAAGCATTCTGAGAAACTTCTTTGTGATCTGTGCATTCATCTCACAGAGTTGGATGTTTCTATTGATACAGCAGTTTTGAAACACTCTTTTTTTAGAATCTGTAAATGGATATTTGGAGTCTTTTCAGGCCTACAGTGTAGAAGGAAATATCTTCACATAAAAACTATGCAGAAGCATTCTGAGAAACTTCTTTGTGATGGGTGCATTCATCTCACAGAGTTGAATGTCTCTGTTGATTGAGCAGTTTTGAAACACTCTTTTTGTAGAATCTGCAAGTGGATATTTGGAGCTCATTGAGGACTACTGTGGAAAAACAAATATCTTCACATAAAAACTACACAGAAAGCATTCTGAGAAACATCTTTGTGAGTTGTGCACCTGAAGTGACAGTGTTGAACCTATCTTTTGATTCAGCAGTTTTGAATCTCTCTTTTTACAGAATCTGAGAGTGGATATTTGGAGCGCTTTGAGGCGTACTGTGGAAAATGAAATATCTTCACACAAAAACTACACAGAAGCATTCAGAGAAACTTCTTTCTGATGAGAGCATTCATCGCAGAGTTGAACCTTTGTTTTGATTTAGCAGTTTTGAGACAATCTTTCCGTAGAATCTGGAAGTAAATATTTGGAGGGCTTTGAGTTCTGTTTTGGAGAAGGAGATATCTTCATATAAAAACTATACAGAAGCATTCTGTGAAACTTATTTGTGATGTGTGCATTCAACCAACAATGTTGAAAGTATCTGTTGATTGAGCAGATTAGAATCTCTCTTTTTGTAGAATCTGCAAGTGAATATTTGGAGCCCTATTTCGCCCTATAGTGGAAAAGGAAATATTTTCAAATAGAAGCTACACAGAAGCATTCTGAGAAAGTACTTTGTGATGTGTGCATTCATCTCATACAGTAGAACCTTTCTTTGGATTGAGCAGTTTTGAAACACTCTTTTTTTAGAATCTGCAAGTGGATATTTAGAGCGTTTTGAGGCCTATTGTGGAAAGGGAAATTTCTTCACATAAAAACTACCCAGAAGCATTCTGAGAAACTTCTTTGTGATCTGTGCATTCATCTCACAGAGTTGAATCTTTCTTTTGATACAGCAGTTTTGAAACGCTATTTTTTTAGAATCTGCAGGTGGATATTTGGAGCCTTTTGAGGCCTATAGTGGAGAAGGAAATATCTTCACATAAAAACTATGCAGAAGCATTCTGAGAAACTTCTTTGTGATGTGTGCATTCATCTCACAGAGTTGAATGTCTCTGTTGATTGAGCAGTTTTGAAACACTCTTTTTATAGAATCTGCAAGTGGATATTTGGAGTTCATTGGGGCCTGCTGTGGAAAAACAAATATCTTCACATAAAAACTACACAGAGGATTTCTGATAAACACCTTTGTGAGGTGTGCACTGAAGTCACAGTGTTGAACCTATCTTTTGATTCACCAGTTTTGAATCTCTCTTTTTACAGAACCTGCGAGTGGATATTTGGAGCGCTTTGAGGCGTACTGTGGAAAATGAAACATCTTCACACAAAAACTGCACAGAAGCATTCAGAGAACCTTCTTTCTGATGAGTGCATTCATCACAGAGTTGAACCTTTGTTTTGATTTAGTAGTTTTGAGACAATCATTCCGTAGAATCTGGAAGTGAATATTTGTAGGGATTTGAGTTGTGTTTTGGAGAAGGAGATATCTTCATATAAAAACTGTACAGAAGCATTCTGTGAAACTTATTTGTGATGTGTGCATTCAAATCACATTGTTGAACGTATCTGTTGATTGAGCAGTTTAGAATCTCTCTTTTTGTAGATTCTGCAAGCGAATATTTGGAGCCCTATTTCGCCCTAGAGTGGAAAAGGAAATATCTTCAAATAGAAACTACACAGACATCTGCCACCATGCCCGGCTACTTTTTGTATTTTCAGTAGAGACGGGGTTTCACCATGTTAGCCAGGATTGTCTCGATACTCTGACCTCGAGGATCCACCTGCCTCGGCCTCCCAAAATGCTGGGATTAGAGGCGTGAGCCACCAATCTCTCTTTTTTTTTTGTATTTTAGTGGAAATTGGGGTTTCATTGGGGCCGACTGAGGAAAAACAAATATCTGCCCATAAAAACTACACAGAAC
>NC_000020.11:29165554-29204668 GCF_000001405.40 Homo sapiens
AGCATTCTGAGAAACTACTTTGTGATGTGTGCATTCATCTCACAGAGTAGAACCTTTCTTTGGATTGAGCAGTTTTGAAACACTCTTTTTTTAGAATCTGCAAGTGGATATTTGGAGCCTTTTGAGGCCTATGGTGGAGAAGGAAATATCTTCACATAAAAACTATGCAGAAGCATTCTGAGGAACTTCTTTGTTATCTGTGCATTCATCTCACAGTGTTGAATCATTCTTTTGATACAGAAGTTTAGAAGCACTCTTTTTTTAGATTCCGCAAGTGGATATTTGGAGCCTTTTGAGGCCTATAGTGGAGAAGGAAATATCTTCACATAAAAACTATGCAGAAGCATTCTGAGAAACTTCTTTGTGATGGGTGCATTCATCTCACAGAGTTGAATGTCTCTGTTGATTGAGCAGTTTTGAAACACTCTTTTTGTAGAATCTGCAAGTGGATATTTGGAGCTCATTGGGGACTACTGTGGAAAAACAAATATCTTCACATAAAAACTACACAGAAGCATTCTGAGAAACTTCTTTGTGATCTGTGCATTCATCTCACAGAGTTGGATGTTTCTATTGATACAGCAGTTTTGAAACACTCTTTTTTTAGAATCTGTAAAAGGATATTTGGAGTCATTTCAGGCCTACAGTGTAGAAGGAAATATCTTCACATAAAAACTACACAGAAGCATTCGGCAAAACTTCTTTGTGATGTGTGCATTCATCTCACAGAGTTGAATGTCTTTGTTGATTGAGCAGTTTTGAAACACTCTTTTTGTAGAATCTGCAAGTGGATATTTGGAGCTCATTGGGGCCTACAGTGGAAAAACAAATAACTTCTCATAAAAACTACACAGAAGCATTCTGAGAAACACCTTTGTGAGTTGTGCACGGAAGTCACGTTGTTGAACGTATCTTTTGATTCAGCAGTTTTGAATCTCTCTTTTTACAGAATCTGAGAGTGGATATTTGGAGGGCTTTGAGGCGTACTGTTGAAAATGAAATATCTTCACACAAAAACTACACAGAAGCATTCAGAGAAACTTCTTTCTGATGAGAGCATTCATCACAGAGTTGAACCTTTGTTTTGATTTAGCAGTTTTGAGACAATCTTTCCGTAGAATCTGCAAGTAAATATTTGGAGGGCTTTGAGTTCTGTTTTGGAGAAGGAGATATCTTCATATAAAAACTATACAGAAGCATTCTGATAAACTTCTTTCTGATGTGTGCATTCAACCAACAATGTTGAAAGTATCTGTTGATTGAGCAGATTAGAATCTCTCTTTTTGTAGAATCTGCAAGTGAATATTTGGAGCCCTATTTCGCCCTATAGTGGAAAAGGAAATATCTTCAAATAGAAGCTACACAGAAGCATTCTGAGAAACTTCTTTGTGGTGTGTGCATTCAACTCACAGAGTTGAACTTAACTTTTGACAGAGCAGTTTTGAAACTCTCTTTATGTAGAATCTCCAAGTGCATATTTGGAGCCCTTTGTTGCCTATGGTGGAAAAGGAAATATCTTCACCTAAAAGCTACACAGAAGCATTCTGAGAAAGTTGTTTGTGATGTGTGCATTCATCTCACAAAGTTGAACTTTTCTTTTGATTGAGCCGTTTGGAAACTCTCTTTTTGTTGAATCTGCAGGTGGATATTTGGAGCGCTTTGAAGCCTATGGTGGACAAGGAAACATCTTCATATAAAAACTCTACAGAAGCTTTATGAGAAACTTCTTTGTGATCTGTGCATCCATCTCACAGAGTTGAATCTTTCTTTTGATACAGCAGTTTTGAAACACTATTTTTTTAGAATCTACAAGTGGATATTTGGAGCCTTTGAGGCCTATAGTGGGGAAGGAAATATCTTCACATAAAAACTATGCAGAAGCATTCTGAGAAACTTCTTTGTGATGTGTGCATTCATCTCACAGAGTTGAATGTCTCTGTTGATTGAGCAGTTTTGAAACACTCTTTTTATAGAATCTGCAAGTGGATATTTGGAGTTCATTGGGGCCTGCTGTGGAAAAACAAATATCTTCACATAAAAACTACACAGAAGATTTCTGAGAAACACCTTTGTGAGGTGTGCACTGAAGTCCCAGTATTGAACCTATCTTTTGATTCAGCAGTTTTGAATCTCTCTTTTTACAGAGGCTGAGACTGGATATTTGGAGCGCTTTGAGGCGTACTGTGGAAAATGAAATATCTTCACACAAAAACTACACAGAAGCATTCAGAGAACCTTCTTTCTGATGAGTGCATTCATCACAGAGTTGAACCTTTGTTTTGATTTAGTAGTTTTGAGACAATCATTCCGTAGAATCTGGAAGTGAATATATGTAGGGATTTGAGTTGTGTTTTGGAGAAGGAGATATCTTCATATAAAAACTGTACAGAAGCATTCTGTGAAACTTATTTGTGATGTGTGCATTCAACTCACGTTGTTGAACGTATCTGTTGATTGAGCAGTTTAGAATCTCTCTTTTTGTAGATTCTGCAAGTGAATATTTGGAGCCCTATTTCACCCTAGAGTGGAAAAGGAAATATCTTCAAATAGAAACTACACAGAAGAATTCTGCGAAACTACTTTCTGATGTTTGCATCCATCTCACAGAGTAGAACCTTTCTTTTGATTGAGCAGTTTTGACACACTCTTTTGTAGGATCTGCAAGTGGATATTTAGAGCGACTTGAGGCCTATTCTGGGTAGGGAAATTTCTTCAAATAAAAACTACCCAGAAACATTCTGAGAAACTACTTTATGATGTGTTCATTCATCTCACAGAGTAGAACCTTTCTTTGGATTGAGCTGTTTTGAAACAGTCTTTTTTTCGAATCTGCAAGTGGATATTTGGAGCCTTTTGAGACCTATAGTGGAGAAGGAAATATCTTCACATAAAAACTATGCAGAAGCATTCTGAGAAACTTCTTTGCGATCTGTGCATTCATCTCACAGAGTTGAATCTTTGTTTTGATACAGCAGTTTTGAAACACTCTTTTTTTAGAATCCGCAAGTGGATATTTGGAGCCTTTTGAGGCCTATAGTGGAGAAGGAAATATCTTCACATAAAAACTATGCAGAAGCATTCTGAGAAACTTCTTTGTAATGGGTGCATTCATCTCACAGAGTTGAATGTCTCTGTTGAGTGAGCAGTTTTGAAACACTCTTTTTGTAGAATCTGCAAGTGGGTATTTGGAGCTCATTGGGGCCTACTGTGGAAAAACAAATATCTTCACATAAAAACTACACAGAAGATTTCTGAGGAACATCTTTGTGAATTGTGCACCTAAGTCACAGTGTTGAACCTATCTTTTGATTCAGCAGTTGGAATCTCTGTTTTTACAGAATCTGAGAGTGGATATTTGGAGCGCTTTGAGGCATACTGTGGAAAATGAAATGTCTTCACACAAAAACTACACAGAAGCATTCAGAGAACCTTCTTTCTGATGAGTGCATTCATCACAGAGTTGAACCTTTGTTTTGATTTAGCAGTTTTGACACAATCTTTCCGTACAATCTGGAAGTGAATATTTGGAGGGCTTTGAGATCTGTTTTGGAGGAGGAGATATCTTCATATAAAAACTACACAGAAGCATTCTGTGAAACTTATTTGCGATGTGTGCATTCAACTCACATTGTTGAAGGTATCTGTTGATTGAGCAGTTTAGAATCTCCCTTTTTGTAGAATCTGCAAGTGAATATTTGGGGCCCTATTTTGCCCTATATTGGAAAAGGAAATATCTTCAAATAGAAACTACACAGAAGCATTCTGAGAAACTACTCTGTGTTGCGTGCATTCATCTCACAGGGTACAACCTTTCTTTGGATTGAGCAGTGTTGAAACACTCTTTTTGTAGAATCTGCAAGTGGATATTTAGAGTGATTTGAGGCCTATTGTGGAAAGGGAAATTTCTTCAACTAAAAACTACCCAGAAGCATTCTGAGAAACTTCTTTGTGATCTGTGCATTCATCTCACAGAGTTGGATGTTTCTATTGATACAGCAGTTTTGAAACACTCTTTTTTTAGAATCTGTAAATGGATATTTGGAGTCTTTTCAGGCCTACAGTGTAGAAGGAAATATCTTCACATAAAAACTATGCAGAAGCATTCGGCAAAACTTCTTTGTGATGTGTGCATTCATCTCACAGAGTTGAATGTCTCTGTTGATTGAGTAGTTTTGAAACACTCTTTTTGTAGAATCTGCAAGCAGATATTTGGAGCTCATTGGGGCCTACTGTGGAAAACAAATAACTTCTCATAAAAACTACACAGAAGCATTCTGAGAAACACCTTTGTGAGTTGTGCACTGAAGTCACGTTGTTGAACGTATCTTTTGATTCAGCAGTTTTGAATCTCTCTTTTTACAGAATCTGAGAGTGGATATTTGGAGCGCTTTGAGGCATACTGTTGAAAATGAAATATCTTCACACAAAAACTACACAGAAGCATTCAGAGAAACTTCTTTCTGATGAGAGCATTCATCGCAGAGTTGAACCTTTGTTTTGATTTAGCAGTTTTGAGACAATCTTTCCGTAGAATCTGGAAGTAAATATTTGGAGGGCTTTGAGTTCTGTTTTGGAGAAGGAGATATCTTCATATAAAAACTATACAGAAGCATTCTGTGAAACTTATTTGTGATGTGTGCATTCAACCAACAATGTTGAAAGTATCTGTTGATTGAGCAGATTAGAATCTCTCTTTTTGTAGAATCTGCAAGTGAATATTTGGAGCCCTATTTCGCCCTATAGTGGAAAAGGAAATATCTTCAAATAGAAGCTACACAGAAGCATTCTGAGAAACTACTTTGTGATGTGTGCATTCACCTCACAGAGTACAACCTTTCTTTTGACTGAGCAGTATTGAAACATTCTTTCTGTAGAATCTGCAAGTGGATATTTAGAGCAATTTGAGGCCTATTGTGGAAAGGGAAATTTCTTCAAATAAAAACTACCCAGAAGCTTTATGAGAAACTTCTTTGTGATCTGTGCATCCATCTCACAGAGTTGAATCTTTCTTTTGATACAGCAGTTTTGTAACACTATTTTTTTAGAATCTACAAGTGGATATTTGGAGCCTTTGAGGCCTATAGTGGGGAAGGAAATATCTTCACATAAAAACTATGCAGAAGCATTCTGAGAAACTTCTTTGTGATGTGTGCATTCATCTCACAGAGTTGAATGTCTCTGTTGATTGAGCAGTTTTGAAACACTCTTTTTGTAGAATCTGCAAGTGGATATTTGGAGTTCATTGGGGCCTGCTGTGGAAAAACAAATATCTTCACATAAAAACTACACAGAAGATTTCTGATAAACACCTTTGTGAGTTGTGCACTGAAGTTACAGTGTTGAACCTATCTTTTGATTCACCAGTTTTGAATCTCTCTTTTTACAGAACCTGCGAGTGGATATTTGGAGCGATTTGAGGCGTACTGTGGAAAATGAAATATCTTCACACAAAAACTGCACAGAAGCATTCAGAGAACCTTCTTTCTGATGAGTGCATTCATCACAGAGTTGAACCTTTGTTTTGATTTAGTAGTTTTGAGACAATCATTCCGTAGAATCTGGAAGTGAATATTTGTAGGGATTTGAGTTGTGTTTTGGAGAAGGAGATATCTTCATATAAAAACTGTACAGAAAGCATTCTGTGAAACTTATTTGTGATGTTTGCATTCAACTCACATTGTTGAACGTATCTGTTGATTGAGCAGTTGAGAATCTCTCTTTTTGTAGAATCTGCAATTGAATATTTGGAGCCCTATTTCGCCCTATATTGGAAAAGGAAATATCTTCAAATAGAAACTACACAGAAGAATTCTGCGAAACTACTTTCTGATGTTTGCATCCATCTCACAGAGTAGAACCTTTCTTTTGATTGAGCAGTTTTGACACACTCTTTTTGTAGGATCTGCAAGTGGATATTTAGAGCGACTTGAGGCCTGAGCTGGGTAGGGAAATTTCTTCAAATAAAAACTACCCAGAAGCATTCTGAGAAACTACTTTATGATGTGTTCATTCATCTCAGAGAGTAGAACCTTTCTTTGGATTGAGCTGTTTTGAAACAGTCTTTTTTTCGAATCTGCAAGTGGATATTTGGAGCCTTTTGAGACCTATAGTGGAGAAGGAAATATCTTCACATAAGAACTATGCAGAAGCATTCTGAGAAACTTCTTTGTGATCTGTGCATTCATCTCACAGTGTTGAATCATTCTTTTGATACAGAAGTTTAGAAGCACTCTTTTTTTAGAATCCGCAAGTGGGTATTTGGAGCCTTTTGAGGCCTAAAGTGGAGAAGGAAATATCTTCACATATAAACTATGCAGAAGCATTCTGAGAAACTTCTTTGTGATGGGTGCATTCATCTCACAGAGTTGAATGTCTCTGTTGATTGAGCAGTTTTGAAACACTCTTTTTGTAGAATCTGCAAGTGGATATTTGGAGCTCATTGGGGACTACTGTGGAAAAACAAATATCTTCACATAAAAACTACACAGAAGATTTCTGAGGAACATCTTTGTGAATTGTGCACCTAAGTCACAGTGTTGAACCTATCTTTTGATTCAGCAGTTTGGAATCTCTCTTTTTACAGAATCTGAGAGTGGATATTTGGAGCGCTTTGAGGCATACTGTGGAAAATGAAATGTCTTCACACAAAAACTACACAGAAGCATTCAGAGAACCTTCTTTCTGATGAGTGCATTCATCACAGAGTTGAACCTCTGTTTTGATTTAGCAGTTTTGACACAATCTTTCTGTACAATCTGGAAGTGAATATTTGGAGGGCTTTGAGATCTGTTTTGGAGGAGGAGATATCTTCATATAAAAACTACACAGAAGCATTCTGTGAAACTTATTTGCGATGTGTGCATTCAACTCACATTGTTGAAGGTATCTGTTGATTGAGTAGTTTAGAATCTCTCTTTTTGTAGAATCTGCAAGTGAATATTTGGGACCCTATTTTGCCCTATATTGGAAAAGGAAATATCTTCAAATAGAAACTACACAGAAGCATTCTGAGAAACTACTTTGTGATGTGTGCATTCATCTCACAGGGTACAACCTTTCTTTGGATTGAGCAGTTTTGAAACACTCTTTTTGTAGAATCTGCAAGTGGATATTTAGAGTGATTTGAGGCCTATTGTGGAAAGGGAAATTTCTTCAAATAAAAACTACCCAGAAGCATTCTGAGAAACTTCTTTGTGATCTGTGCATTCATCTCACAGAGTTGGATGTTTCTATTGATACAGCAGTTTTGAAACACTCTTTTTTTAGAATCTGTAAATGGATATTTGGAGTCTTTTCAGGCCTACAGTGTAGAAGGAAATATCTTCACATAAAAACTATGCAGAAGCATTCGGCAAAACTTATTTGTGATGTGTGCATTCATCTCACAGAGTTGAATGTCTCTGTTGATTGAGTAGTTTTGAAACACTCTTTTTGTAGAATCTGCAAGTAGATATTTGGAGCTCATTGGGGCCTACTGTGGAAAAACAAATAACTTCTCATAAAAACTACACAGAAGCATTCTGAGAAACACCTTTGTGAGTTGTGCACTGAAGTCACGTTGTTGAACGTATCTTTTGATTCAGCAGTTTTGAATCTCTCTTTTTACAGAATCTGAGAGTGGATATTTGGAGCGCTTTGAGGCGTACTGTTGAAAATGAAATATCTTCACACAAAAACTACACAGAAGCATTCAGAGAAACTTCTTTCTGATGAGAGCATTCATCACAGAGTTGAACCTTTGTTTTGATTTAGCAGTTTTGAGACAATCTTTCCGTAGAATCTGGAAGTAAATATTTGGAGGGCTTTGAGTTCTGTTTTGGAGAAGGAGATATCTTCATATAAAAACTATACAGAAGCATTCTGAGAAACTTATTTGTGATGTGTGCATTCAACTCACAGTGTTGAACCTATCTGTTGATTGAGCAGTTTAGAATCTCTCTTTTTATAGAATCTGCAAGTGAATATTTGGAGCCCTATTTCACCCTATAGTGGAAAAGGAAATATCTTCAAATAGAAACTACACAGAAGCATTCTGAGAAACTACTTTGTGATGTGTGCATTCATCTCACAGAGTAGAACCTTTCTTTTGATTGAGCAGTTTTGAAACACTCTTTTTGTAGAATCTGAAAGTGGATATTTAGAGCAATTTGAGGCTTATTGTGGAAAGAGAAATATCTTCAAATAAAAACTACCCAGAAGCATTCTGAGAAACTTCTTTGTGATCTGTGCATTAATCTCACTGAGTTGAATCTTTCTTTTGATACAGCAGTTTTGAAACACTATTTTTTTAGAATCTGTAGGTGGATATTTGGAGCCTTTTGAGGCCTATAGTGGAGAAGGAAATATCTTCACATAAAAACTACGCAGAAGCATTCTGAGAAACTTCTTTGTGATGTGTGCATTCATCTCACAGAGTTGAATGTCTCTGTTGATTGAGCAGTTTTGAAACACTCTTTTTGTAGAATCTGAAAGTGGATATTTGGAGCTCATTGGGGCCTACTGTGGAAAAACAAATATCTTCACATAAAAACTACAAAGAAGCATTCTGAGAAACATCTGTGTGAGGTGTGCACTGAAGTCACATTGTTGAACCTATCTTTTGATTCAGCAGTTTTGAATCTATCTTTTTGCAGAATCTGCGAGTGGATATTTGGAGCGCTTTGAGGCGTACTGTGGAAAATCAAATATCTTCACATAAAAACTACACAGAAGCATTCAGAGAACCTTCTTTCTGATGAGTGCATTCATCACAGATTTGAACCTTTGTTTTCATTTAGCAGTTTTGAGATAATCTTTCCGTAGAAACTGGAAGTGAATATTTGGAGGGCTTTGAGTTCTGTTTTGGATAAGGAGATATCTTCATATAAAAACTACACAGAAGCATTCTGATAAACTTCTTTCTGATGTGTGCATTCAACCAACAATGTTGAAAGTATCTGTTGATTGAGCAGATTAGAATCTCTCTTTTTGTAGAATCTGCAAGTGAATATTTGGAGCCCTATTTCGCCCTATAGTGGAAAAGGAAATATCTTCAAATAGAAGCTACACAGAAGCATTCTGAGAAACTACTTTGTGAAGTGTGCATTCACCTCACAGAGTACAACCTTTCTTTTGACTGAGCAGTTTTGAAACATTCTTTCTGTAGAATCTGCAAGTGGATATTTAGAGCAATTTGAGGCCTATTGTGGAAAGGGAAATTTCTTCAAATAAAAACTACCCAGAAGCTTTATGAGAAACTTCTTTGTGATCTGTGCATCCATCTCACAGAGTTGAATCTTTCTTTTGATACAGCAGTTTTGAAACACTATTTTTTTAGAATCTACAAGTGGATATTTGGAGCCTTTGAGGCCTATAGTGGGGAAGGAAATATCTTCACATAAAAACTATGCAGAAGCATTCGGCGAAACTTCTTTGTGATGGGGGCATTCATCTCACAGAGTTGAATGTCTCTGTTGATTGAGCAGTTTTGAAACACTCTTTTTATAGAATCTGCAAGTGGATATTTGGAGTTCATTGGGGCCTGCTGTGGAAAAACAAATATCTTCACATAAAAACTACACAGAAAGCATTCTTATAAACATCTTTGTGAGTTGTGCACTGAAGTCACAGTGTTGAACCTATCTTTTGATTCAGCAGTTTTGAATCTCTCTTTTTACAGAATCTGGGAGTGGATATTTGGAGCGCTTTGAGGCGTACTGTGGAAAATGAAATATCTTCACACAAAAACTGCACAGAAGCATTCAGAGAACCTTCTTTCTGATGAGTGCATTCATCACAGAGTTGAACCTTTGTTTTGATTTAGTAGTTTTGAGACAATCATTCCGTAGAATCTGGAAGTGAATATTTGTAGGGATTTGAGTTGTGTTTTGGAGAAGGAGATATCTTCATATAAAAACTGTACAGAAGCATTCTGTGAAACTTATTTGTGATGTGTGCATTCAACTCATATTGTTGAACGTATCTGTTGATTGAGCACTTTAGAAACTCCCTTTTTGTAGAATCTGCAAGTGAATATTTGGAGCCCTATTTCACCCTATAGTGGAAAAGGAAATGTCTTCAAATAGAAACTACACAGAAGAATTCTGCGAAACTACTTTCTGATGTTTGCATCCATCTCACAGTGTAGAACCTTTCTTTTGATTGAGCAGTTTTGACACACTCTTTTTGTAGGATCTGCAAGTGGATATTTAGAGCGACTTGAGGCCTATTCTGGGTAAGGAAATTTCTTCAAATAAAAACTACCCAGAAGCATTCTGAGAAACTACTTTATGATGTGTTCATTCATCTCACAGAGTAGAACCTTTCTTTGGATTGAGCTGTTTTGAAACAGTCTTTTTTTCGAATCTGCAAGTGGATATTTGGAGCCTTTTGAGACCTATAGTGGAGAAGGAAATATCTTCACATAAAAACTATGCAGAAGCATTCTGAGAAAACTTCTTTGTGATCTGTGCATTCATCTCACAGTGTTGAATCTTTCTTTTGATACAGAAGTTTAGAAGCACTCTTTTTTTAGAATCCGCAAGTGGATATTTGGAGCCTTTTGAGGCCTATAGTGGAGAAGGAAATATCTTCACATAAAAACTATGCAGAAGCATTCTGAGAAACTTCTTTGTGATGTGTGCATTCATCTCACAGAGTTGAATGTCTCTGTTGATTGAGCAGTTTTGAAACACTCTTTTTGTGGAATCTGCAAGTGGATATTTGGAGCTCATTGGGGCCTACTGTGGAAAATCAAATATCTTCACATAAAAACTACACAGAAGCATTCTGAGAAACATCTTTGTGAGTTGTGCACTGAAGTGACAGTGTTGAACCTATCTTTTGATTCAGCAGTTTTGAATCTCTCTTTTTACAGAATCTGAGAGTGGATATTTGGAGCGCTTTGAGGCGTACTGTGCAAAATGAAATATCTTCACACAAAAACTACACAGAAGCATTCAGAGAACCTTCTTTCTGATGAGTGCATTCATCACAGAGTTGAACCTTTGTTTTGATTTAGCAGTTTTGACACAATCTTTCCGTACAATCTGGAAGTGAATATTTGGAGGGCTTTGAGTTCTGTTTTGGAGAAGGAGATATCTTCATATAAAAACTACACAGAAGCATTCTGTGAAACTTATTTGCGATGTGTGCATTCAACTCACATTGTTGAAGGTATCTGTTGATTGAGCAGTTTAGAATCTCCCTTTTTGTAGAATCTGCAAGTGAATATTTGGGGCCCTATTTTGCCCTATATTGGAAAAGGAAATATCTTCAAATAGAAACTACACAGAAGCATTCTGAGAAACTACTTTGTGATGCGTGCATTCATCTCACAGGGTACAACCTTTCTTTGGATTGAGCAGTTTTGAAACACTCTTTTTGTAGAATCTGCAAGTGGATATTTAGAGTGATTTGAGGCCTATTGTGGAAAGGGAAATTTCTTCAACTAAAAACTACCCAGAAGCATTCTGAGAAACTTCTTTGTGATCTGTGCATTCATCTCACAGAGTTGCATGTTTCTATTGATATAGCAGTTTTGAAACACTTTTTTTTTAGAATCTGTAAATGGATATTTGGAGCCTTTTCAGGCCTACAGTGTAGAAGGAAATATCTTCACATAAAAACTATGCAGAAGCATTCTGAGAAACTTCTTTGTGATGTCTGCATTCATCTCACAGAGTTGAATGTCTCTGTTGATTGAGCAGTTTTGAAACACTCTTTTTGTGGAATCTGCAAGTGGATATTTGGAGCTCATTGGGGCCTACTGTGGAAAATCAAATATCTTCACATAAAAACTACACAGAAGCATTCTGAGAAACATCTTTGTGAGTTGTGCACTGAAGTGACAGTGTTGAACCTATCTTTTGATTCAGCAGTTTTGAATCTCTCTTTTTACAGAATCTGAGAGTGGATATTTGGAGCGTTTTGAGGCGTACTGTGGAAAATGAAATATCTTCACACAAAAACTACACAGAAGTATTCTGAGAAACTTCTTTGTGACGTGTGCATTCATCTCACAGAGTTGAACCTTTATTTTGACTGAGCAGTTTTGAGACAATCTTTCCATATAACCTGGAAGTGAATATTTGGAGGGCTTTGAGTTCTATTTTGGAGATGGAGATATCTTCATGTGAAAACTACATAGAAGCATTCTGTGAAACTTATTTGTGATGTGTGCATTCAACCAACAATGTTGAAAGTATCTGTTGATTGAGCAGATTAGAATCTCTCTTTTTGTAGAATCTGCAAGTGAATATTTGGAGCCCTATTTCGCCCTATAGTGGAAAAGGAAATATCTTCAAATAGAAGCTACACAGAAGCATTCTGACAAACTACTTTGTGATGTGTGCATTCATCTCACAGAGTAGTACCTTTCTTTGGATTGAGCAGTTTTGAAACACTCTTTTTTTAGAATCTGCAAGTGGATATTTAGAGCGATTTGAGGCCTATTGTGGAAAGGGAAATTTCTTCAAATAAAAACTACCCAGAAGCTTTATGAGAAACTTCTTTGTGATCTGTGCATCCATCTCACAGAGTTGAATCTTTCTTTTGATACAGCAGTTTTGAAACACTATTTTTTTAGGATCTACAAGTGGATATTTGGAGCCTTTTGAGGCCTATAGTGGAGAAGGAAACATCTTCACATAAAAACTATGCAGAAGCATCGGCGAAACTTCTTTGTGATGGGTGCATTCATCTCACAGAGTTGAATGTCTCTGTTGATTGAGCAGTTTTGAAACACTCTTTTTATAGAATCTGCAAGTGGATATTTGGAGTTCATTGGGGCCTGCTGTGGAAAAACAAATATCTTCACATAAAAACTACACAGAAGATTTCTGAGAAACACCTTTGTGAGGTGTGCACTGAAGTCACATTGTTGAACCTATCTTTTGGTTCAGCAGTTTTGAATCTCTCTTTTTACAGAACCTGCGAGTGGATATTTGGATCGCTTTGAGGCATACTGTGGAAAATGAAATATCTTCACAAAAAAACTACACAGAAGCATTCAGAGAACCTTCTTTCTGATGAGTGCATTCATCACAGAGTTGAACCTTTGTTTTGATTTAGTAGTTTTGAGACAATCATTCCGTAGAATCTGGAAGTGAATATTTGTAGGGATTTGAGTTGTGTTTTGGAGAAGGAGATATCTTCATATAAAAACTGTACAGAAGCATTCTGTGAAACTTATTTGTGATGTGTGCATTCAACTCACATTGTTGAACGTATCTGTTGATTGAGCAGTTTAGAATCTCTCTTTTTGTAGATTCTGCAAGTGAATATTTGGAGCCCTATTTCGCCCTAGAGTGGAAAAGGAAATATCTTCAAATAGAAACCACACAGAAGAATTCTGCGAAACTACTTTCTGATGTTTGCATCCATCTCACAGTGTAGAACCTTTCTTTTGATTGAGCAGTTTTGACACACTCTTTTTGTAGGATCTGCAAGTGGATATTTAGAGCGACTTGAGGCCTATTCTGGGTAAGGAAATTTCTTCAAATAAAAACTACCCAGAAGCATTCTGAGAAACTACTTTGTGATGTGTGCATTCATCTCACAGAGTAGAACCTTTCTTTGGATTGAGCAGTTTTGAAACACTCTTTTTTTAGAATCTGCAAGTGGATATTTGGAGCCTTTTGAGGCCTATGGTGGAGAAGGAAATATCTTCACATAAAAACTATGCAGAAGCATTCTGAGAAACTTTTTTGTGATCTGTGCATTCATCTCACAGTGTTGAATCATTCTTTTGATACAGAAGTTTAGAAGCACTCTTTTTTTAGAATCCGCAAGTGGATATTTGGAGCCTTTTGAGGCCTATAGTGGAGAAGGAAATATCTTCACATAAAAACTATGCAGAAGCATTCTGAGAAACTTCTTTGTGATGGGTGCATTCATCTCACAGAGTTGAATGTCTCTGTTGATTGAGCAGTTTTGAAACACTCTTTTTGTAGAATCTGCAAGTGGATATTTGGAGCTCATTGGGGACTACTGTGGAAAAACAAATATCTTCACATAAAAACTACACAGAAGATTTCTGAGGAACATCTTTGTGAATTGTGCACCTAAGTCACAGTGTTGAACCTATCTTTTGATTCAGCAGTTGGAATCTCTGTTTTTACAGAATCTGAGAGTGGATATTTGGAGCGCTTTGAGGCATACTGTGGAAAATGAAATGTCTTCACACAAAAACTACACAGAAGCATTCAGAGAACCTTCTTTCTGATGAGTGCATTCATCACAGAGTTGAACCTTTGTTTTGATTTAGCAGTTTTGACACAATCTTTCCGTACAATCTGGAAGTGAATATTTGGAGGGCTTTGAGATCTGTTTTGGAGGAGGAGATATCTTCATATAAAAACTACACAGAAGCATTCTGTGAAACTTATTTGCGATGTGTGCATTCAACTCACATTGTTGAAGGTATCTGTTGATTGAGCAGTTTAGAATCTCCCTTTTTGTAGAATCTGCAAGTGAATATTTGGGGCCCTATTTTGCCCTATATTGGAAAAGGAAATATCTTCAAATAGAAACTACACAGAAGCATTCTGAGAAACTACTCTGTGATGCGTGCATTCATCTCACAGGGTACAACCTTTCTTTGGATTGAGCAGTTTTGAAACACTCTTTTTGTAGAATCTGCAAGTGGATATTTAGAGTGATTTGAGGCCTATTGTGTAAAGGGAAATTTCTTCAACTAAAAACTACCCAGAAGCATTCTGAGAAACTTCTTTGTGATCTGTGCATTCATCTCACAGAGTTGGATGTTTCTATTGATACAGCAGTTTTGAAACACTCTTTTTTTAGAATCTGTAAACGGATATTTGGAGTCTTTTCAGGCCTACAGTGTAGAAGGAAATATCTTCACATAAAAACTATGCAGAAGCATTCGGCAAAACTTATTTGTGATGTGTGCATTCATCTCACAGAGTTGAATGTCTCTGTTGATTGAGTAGTTTTGAAACACTCTTTTTGTAGAATCTGCAAGTAGATATTTGGAGCTCATTGGGGCCTACTGTGGAAAAACAAATAACTTCTCATAAAAACTACACAGAAGCATTCTGAGAAACACCTTTGTGAGTTGTGCACTGAAGTCACGTTGTTGAACGTATCTTTTGATTCAGCAGTTTTGAATCTCTCTTTTTACAGAATCTGAGAGTGGATATTTGGAGCGCTTTGAGGCATACTGTTGAAAATGAAATATCTTCACACAAAAACTACACAGAAGCATTCAGAGAAACTTCTTTCTGATGAGAGCATTCATCACAGAGTTGAACCTTTGTTTTGATTTAGCAGTTTTGAGACAATCTTTCCGTAGAATCTGGAAGTAAATATTTGGAGGGCTTTGAGTTCTGTTTTGGAGAAGGAGATATCTTCATATAAAAACTATACAGAAGCATTCTGTGAAACTTATTTGTGATGTGTGCATTCAACCAACAATGTTGAAAGTATCTGTTGATTGAGCAGATTAGAATCTCTCTTTTTGTAGAATCTGCAAGTGAATATTTGGAGCCCTATTTCGCCCTATAGTGGAAAAGGAAATATCTTCAAATAGAAGCTACACAGAAGCATTCTGACAAACTACTTTGTGATGTGTGCATTCATCTCACAGTAGTAGTACCTTTCTTTGGATTGAGCAGTTTTGAAACACTCTTTTTTTAGAATCTGCAAGTGGATATTTAGAGCGATTTGAGGCCTATTGTGGAAAGGGAAATTTCTTCAACTAAAAACTACCCAGAAGCTTTATGAGAAACTTCTTTGTGATCTGTGCATCCATCTCACAGAGTTGAATCTTTCTTTTGATACAGCAGTTTTGAAACACTATTTTTTTAGGATCTACAAGTGGATATTTGGAGCCTTTTGAGGCCTATAGTGGAGAAGGAATTATCTTCACATAAAAACTATGCAGAAGCATTCTGAGAAACTTCTTTGTGATGTGTGCATTCATCTCACAGAGTTGAATGTCTCTGTTGATTGAGCAGTTTTGAAACACTCTTTTTATAGAATCTGCAAGTGGATATTTGGAGTTCATTGGGGCCTGCTGTGGAAAAACAAATATCTTCACATAGAAACTACACAGAAGATTTCTGAGAAACACCTTTGTGAGTTGTGCACTGAAGTCACAGTGTTGAACCTATCTTTTGATTCAGCAGTTTTGAATCTCTCTTTTTACAGAACCTGCGAGTGGATATTTGGAGCGCTTTGAGGCGTACTGTGCAAAATGAAATATCTTCACACAAAAACTACACAGAAGCATTCAGAGAACCTTCTTTCTGATGAGTGCATTCATCACAGAGTTGAACCTTTGTTTTGATTTAGCAGTTTTGACACAATCTTTCCGTACAATCTGGAAGTGAATATTTGGAGGGCTTTGAGTTCTGTTTTGGAGAAGGAGATATCTTCATATAAAAACTACACAGAAGCATTCTGTGAAACTTATTTGTGATGTGTGCATTCAACTCACAATGTTGAACGTATCCGTTGATTGAGCAGATTAGAATCTCTCCTTTTGTAGAATCTGCAAGTGAATATTTGGAGCCCTACTTCGCCCTAGAGTGGAAAAGGAAATATCTTCAAATAGAAACTACACAGAAGAATTCTGCGAAACTACTTTCTGATGTTTGCATCCATCTCACAGAGTAGAACCTTCTTTTGATTGAGCAGTTTTGACACACTCTTTTTGTAGGATCTGCAAGTGGATATTTAGAGCGACTTGAGGCCTATTCTGGGTAGGGAAATTTCTTCAAGTAAAAACTACCCAGAAGCATTCTGAGAAACTACTTTATGATGTGTTCATTCATCTCACAGAGTAGAACCTTTCTTTGGATTGAGCTGTGTTGAAACAGTCTTTTTTTCGAATCTGCAAGTGGATATTTGGAGCCTTTTGAGACCTATAGTGGAGAAGGAAATATCTTCACATAAAAACTATGCAGAAGCATTCTGAGAAACTTCTTTGTGATCTGTGCATTCATCTCACAGTGTTGAATCATTCTTTTGATACAGAAGTTTAGAAGCACTCTTTTTTTAGAATCCGCAAGTGGATATTTGGAGCCTTTTGAGGCCTATAGTGGAGAAGGAAATATCTTCACATAAATACTATGCAGAAGCATTCTGAGAAACTTCTTTGTGATGGGTGCATTCATCTCACAGAGTTGAATGTCTCTGTTGATTGAGCAGTTTTGAAACACTCTTTTTGTAGAATCTGCAAGCGGATATTTGGAGCTCATTGGGGACTACTGTGGAAAAACAAATATCTTCACATAAAAACTACACAGAAGATTTCTGAGGAACATCTTTTTGAATTGTGCACCTAAGTCACAGTGTTGAACCTATCTTTTGATTCAGCAGTTTGGAATCTCTCTTTTTACAGAATCTGAGAGTGGATATTTGGAGCGCTTTGAGGCATACTGTGGAAAATGAAATGTCTTCACACAAAAACTACACAGAAGCATTCAGAGAACCTTCTTTCTGATGAGTGCATTCACCACAGAGTTGAACCTTTGTTTTGATTTAGCCGTTTTGACACAATCTTTCCGTACAATCTGGAAGTGAATATTTGGAGGGCTTTGAGATCTGTTTTGGAGGAGGAGATATCTTCATATAAAAACTACACAGAAGCATTCTGTGAAACTTATTTGCGATGTGTGCATTCAACTTACATTGTTGAAGGTATCTGTTGATTGAGTAGTTTAGAATCTCTCTTTTTGTAGAATCTGCAAGTGAATATTTGGGGCCCTATTTTGCCCTATATTGGAAAAGGAAATATCTTCAAATAGAAACTACACAGAAGCATTCTGAGAAACTACTCTGTGACGCGTGCATTCATCTCACAGGGTACAACCTTTCTTTGGATTGAGCAGTTTTGAAACACTCTTTTTGTAGAATCTGCAAGTGGATATTTAGAGTGATTTGAGGCCTATTGTGGAAAGGGAAATTTCTTCAACTAAAAACTACCCAGAAGCATTCTGAGAAACTTCTTTGTGATCTGTGCATTCATCTCACAGAGTTGGATGTTTCTATTGATATAGCAGTTTTGAAACACTCTTTTTTTAGAATCTGTAAATGGATATTTGGAGCCTTTTCAGGCCTACAGTGTAGAAGGAAATATCTTCACATAAAAACTATGCAGAAGCATTCTCAGAAACTTCTTTGTGAGGTGTGCATTCATCTCACAGAGTTGAATGTCTCTGTTGATTGAGCAGTTTTGAAACACTCTTTTTGTAGAATCTGCAAGTGGATATTTGGAGCTCATTGGGGCCTACTGTGGAAAAACAAATATCTTCACATAAAAACTACACAGAAGCATTCTGAGAAACATCTTTGTGAGGTGTGCACTGAAGTCACATTGTTGAACCTATCTTTTGATTCAGCAGTTTTGAATCTCTCTTTTTGCAGAATCTGCGAGTGGATATTTGGAGCACTTTGAGGCGTACTGTGGAAAATCAAATATCTTCACATAAAAACTACACAGAAGCATTCAGGGAACCTAATTTCTGATGAGTGCATTCATCACAGAGTTGAACCTTTGTTTTGATTTAGCAGTTTTGAGGCAATCTTTCTGTAGAATCTGGAAGTAAATATTTGGAGGGCTTTGAATTCTGTTTTGGAGAAGGAGATATCTTCATATAAAAACTACACAGAAGCATTCTGTCAACCTTATTTGTGATGTGTGCATTCAGCTCACATTGTTGAACGTATCTTTTGATTCAGCAGTTTTGAATCTTTCTTTTTACAGAATCTGTGAGTGGATATTTGGAGCGCTTTGAGGCGTACTGTGGAAAATGAATTATCTTCACACAAAAACTACACAGAAGCATTCTGAGAAACTACTTTGTGATGTGTGCATTCACCTCACAGAGTACAACCTTTCTTTTGACTGAGCAGCTTTGAAACATTCTTTCTGTAGAATCTGCAAGTGGATATTTAGAGCAATTTGAGGCCTATTGTGGAAAGGGAAATTTCTTCAAATAAAAACTACCCAGAAGCTTTATGAGAAACTTCTTTGTGATCTGTGCATCCATCTCACAGAGTTGAATCTTTCTTTTGATACAGCAGTTTTGAAACACTATTTTTTTAGAATCTACAAGTGGATATTTGGAGCCTTTGAGGCCTATAGTGGGGAAGGAAATATCTTCACATAAAAACTATGCAGAAGCATTCGGCGAAACTTCTTTGTGATGGGTGCATTCATCTCACAGAGTTGAATGTCTGTGTTGATTGAACAGTTTTGAAACACTCTTTTAATAGAATCTGCAAGTGGATATTTGGAGTTCATTGGGGCCTGCTGTGGAAAAACAAATATCTTCACATAAAAACTACACAGAAGATTTCTGATAAACACCTTTGTGAGTTGTGCACTGAAGTCACAGTGTTGAACCTATCTTTTGATTCACCAGTTTTGAATCTCTCTTTTTACAGAACCTGCGAGTGGATATTTGGAGCGCTTTGAGGCGTACTGTGGAAAATGCAATATCTTCACACAAAAACTGCACAGAAGCATTCAGAGAACCTTCTTTCTGATGAGTGCATTCATCACAGAGTTGAACCTTTGTTTTGATTTAGTAGTTTTGAGACAATCATTCCGTAGAATCTGGAAGTGAATATTTGTAGGGATTTGAGTTGTGTTTTGGAGAAGGAGATATCTTCATATAAAAACTGTACAGAAGCATTCTGTGAAACTTATTTGTGATGTTTGCATTCAACTCACATTGTTGAACGGTATCTGTTGATTGAGCAGTTGAGAATCTCTCTTTTTGTAGAATCTGCAATTGAATATTTGGAGCCCTATTTCGCCCTATATTGGAAAAGGAAATATCTTCAAATAGAAACTACACAGAAGAATTCTGCGAAACTACTTTCTGATGTTTGCATCCATCTCACAGTGTAGAACCTTTCTTTTGATTGAGCAGTTTTGACACACTCTTTTTGCAGGATCTGCAAGTGGATATTTAGAGCGACTTGAGGCCTATTCTGGGTAAGGAAATTTCTTCAAATAAAAACTACCCAGAAGCATTCTGAGAAACTACTTTATGATGTGTTCATTCATCTCACAGAGTAGAACCTTTCTTTGGATTGAGCTGTTTTGAAACAGTCTTTTTTTCGAATCTGCAAGTGGATATTTGGAGCCTTTTGAGACCTATAGTGGAGAAGGAAATATCTTCACATAAGAACTATGCAGAAGCATTCTGAGAAACTTCTTTGTGATCTGTGCATTCATCTCACAGTGTTGAATCATTCTTTTGATACAGAAGTTTAGAAGCACTCTTTTTTTAGAATCCGCAAGTGGATATTTGGAGCCTTTTGAGGCCTATAGTGGAGAAGGAAATATCTTCACTTAAAAACTATGCAGAAGCATTCTGAGAAACTTCTTTGTGATGGGTGCATTCATCTCACAGAGTTGAATGTCTCTGTTGATTGAGCAGTTTTGAAACACTCTTTTTGTAGAATCTGCAAGTGGATATTTGGAGCTCATTGGGGACTACGGTGGAAAAACAAATATCTTCACATAAAAACTACACAGAAGATTTCTGAGGAACATCTTTGTGAATTGTGCACCTAAGTCACAGTGTTGAACCTATCTTTTGATTCAGCAGTTTGGAATCTCTCTTTTTACAGAATCTGAGAGTGGATATTTGGAGCGCTTTGAGGCATACTGTGGAAAATGAAATGTCTTCACACAAAAACTACACAGAAGCATTCAGAGAACCTTCTTTCTGATGAGTGCATTCATCACAGAGTTGAACCTTTGTTTTGATTTAGCCGTTTTGACACAATCTTTCCGTACAATCTGGAAGTGAATATTTGGAGGGCTTTGAGATCTGTTTTGGAGGAGGAGATATCTTCATATAAAAACTACACAGAAGCATTCTGTGAAACTTATTTGTGATGTGTGCATTCATCTCACATTGTTGAAGGTATCTGTTGATTGAGCAGTTTAGAATCTCTCTTTTTGTAGAATCTGCAAGTGGATATTTGGAGCCCCTTGCAACCTATGGTGGTAAAGGAAATACCTTCAAATAAAAACTACATAGAAGCATTCTGAGAAACTACTCTGTGATGCGTGCATTCATCTCACAGGTTACAACCTTTCTTTGGATTGAGCAGTTTTGAAACACTCTTTTTGTAGAATCTGCAAGTGGATATTTAGAGTGATTTGAGGCCTATTGTGGAAAGGGAAATTTCTTCAACTAAAAACTACCCAGAAGCATTCTGAGAAACTTCTTTGTGATCTGTGCATTCATCTCACAGAGTTGCATGTTTCTATTGATATAGCAGTTTTGAAACACTTTTTTTTTAGAATCTGTAAATGGATATTTGGAGCCTTTTCAGGCCTACAGTGTAGAAGGAAATATCTTCACATAAAAACTATGCAGAAGCATTCGGCAAAACTTCTTTGTGATGTGTGCATTCATCTCACAGAGTTGAATGTCTCTGTTGATTGAGCAGTTTTGAAACACTCTTTTTGTAGAATCTGCAAGTGGATATTTGGAGCTCATTGGGGCCTACTGTGGAAAAACAAATAACTTCTCATAAAAACTACACAGAAGCATTCTGAGAAACATCTTTGTGAGTTGTGTACTGAAGTCACGTTGTTGAACGTATCTTTTGATTCAGCAGTTTTGAATCTCTCTTTTTACAGAATCTGAGAGTGGATATTTGGAGCGCTTTGAGGCGTACTGTTGAAAATGAAATATCTTCACACAAAAACTACACAGAAGCATTTTGAGAAACTTCTCTGTGACGTGTGCATTCATATCACAGAATTGAACCCTTGTTTTGACTGAGCAGTTTTGAGACGATCTTTCCGTAGAATCTGGAAGTGAATATTTGGAGGGCTTTGAGTTCTATTTTGGAGATGGAGATATCTTCATATGAAAACTACATAGAAGCATTCTGTGAAACTTATTTCTGATGTGTGCATTCAACTCACAATGTTGAACGTATCTGTTGATTGAGCAGATTAGAATCTCTCTTTTTGTAGAATCTGCAAGTGAATATTTGGAGCCCTATTTCGCCCTAGAGTGGAAAAGGAAATATCTTCAAATAGAAACTACACAGAAGCATTCTCAGAAACTACTTTGTGATGCGTGCATTCATCCCACAGAGTAGAACCTTTCTTTGGATTGAGCAGTTTTGAAGAACTCTTTTTGTAGAATCTGCAAGTGGATATTTAGAGCGACTTGAGGCCTATTGTGGAAAGGGAAATTTCTTCAAATAAAAACTTCCCAGAAGCATTCTGAGAGACTTCTTTGTGATCCGTGCATTCATCTCACAGAATAGAATCTTTCTTTGGATTGAGCAGTATTGAAACAGTCTTTTTTTAGAATCTGCAAGTGGATATTTGGAGCCTTTTCAGGACTATAGTGGAGAAGGAAATATCTTCACATAAAAACTATGCAGAAGCATTCTGAGAAACTTCTTTGTGATCTGTGCATTCATCTCACAGTGTTGAATCATTCTTTTGATACAGAAGTTTAGAAGCACTCTTTTTTTAGAATCCGCAAGTGGATATTTGGAGCCTTTTGAGGCCTATAGTGGAGAAGGAAATATCTTCACTTAAAAACTATGCAGAAGCATTCTGAGAAACTTCTTTGTGATGGGTGCATTCATCTCACAGAGTTGAATGTCTCTGTTGATTGAGCAGTTTTGAAACACTCTTTTTGTAGAATCTGCAAGTGGATATTTGGAGCTCATTGGGGACTACTGTGGAAAAACAAATATCTTCACATAAAAACTACACAGAAGATTTCTGAGGAACATCTTTGTGAATTGTGCACCTAAGTCACAGTGTTGAACCTATCTTTTGATTCAGCAGTTTGGAATCTCTCTTTTTACAGAATCTGAGAGTGGATATTTGGAGCGCTTTGAGGCATACTGTGGAAAATGAAATGTCTTCACACAAAAACTACACAGAAGCATTCAGAGAACCTTCTTTCTGATGAGTGCATTCATCACAGATTTGAACCTTTGTTTTGATTTAGCAGTTTTGACACAATCTTTCCGTACAATCTGGAAGTGAATATTTGGAGGGCTTTGAGATCTGTTTTGGAGGAGGAGATATCTTCATATAAAAACTACACAGAAGCATTCTGTGAAACTAATTTGCGATGTGTGCATTCAACTCACATTGTTGAAGGTATCTGTTCATTGAGTAGTTTAGAATCTCTCTTTTTGTAGAATCTGCAAGTGAATATTTGGGGCCCTATTTTGCCCTATATTGGAAAAGGAAATATCTTCAAATAGAAACTACACAGAAGCATTCTGAGAAACTACTCTGTGATGCGTGCATTCATCTCACAGGGTATAACCTTTCTTTGGATTGAGCAGTTTTGAAACACTCTTTTTGTAGAATCTGCAAGTGGATATTTAGAGTGATTTGAGGATTATTGTGGAAAGGGAAATTTCTTCAACTAAAAACTACCCAGAAGCATTCTGAGAAACTTCTTTGTGATCTATGCATTCATCTCACAGAGTTGGATGTTTCTATTGATACAGCAGTTTTGAAACACTCTTTTTTTAGAATCTGTAAATGGATATTTGGAGTCTTTTCAGGCCTACAGTGTAGAAGGAAATATCTTCACATAAAAACTATGCAGAAGCATTCGGCAAAACTTGTTTGTGATGTGTGCATTCATCTCACAGAGTTGAATGTCTCTGTTGATTGAGCAGTTTTGAAACACTCTTTTTGTAGAATCTGCAAGTGGATATTTGGAGCTCATTGGGGCCTACTGTGGAAAAACAGATAACTTCTCATAAAAACTACACAGAAGCATTCTGTCAACCTTATTTGTGATGTGTGCATTCAGCTCACATTGTTGAACGTATCTTTTGATTCAGCAGTTTTGAATCTTTCTTTTTACAGAATCTGCGAGTGGATATTTGGAGCGCTTTGAGGCGCACTGTGGAAAATGGATTATCTTCACACAAAAACTACACAGAAGCATTCAGAGAACCTTCTTTCTGATGAGCGCATTCATCACAGAGTTGAACCTTTGTTTTGATTTAGCAGTTTTGAGGCAATCTTTCTGTAGAATCTGGAAGTAAATATTTGGAGGGCTTTGAGTTCTGTTTTGGAGAAGGAGATATCTTCATATACAAACTACACAGAAGCATTCTGTGAAACTTATTTGTGATGTGTGCATTCAACCAACAATGTTGAAAGTATCTGTTGATTGAGCAGATTAGAATCTCTCTTTTTGTAGAATCTGCAAGTGAATATTTGGAGCCCTATTTCGCCCTATAGTGGAAAAGGAAATATCTTCAAATAGAAGCTACACAGAAGCATTCTGAGAAACTACTTTGTGATGTGTGAATTCATCTCACAGATTAGAAACTTTCTTTTGATTGAGCAGTTTTGAAACTCTCTTTTTTTAGAATCTGCTTGTGGATATTTAGAGCGATTTGAGGTCTATTGTGGAAAGGGAAATTTCTTCAAATAAAAACTACCCAGAAGCTTTATGAGAAACTTCTTTGTGATCTGTGCATCCATCTCACAGAGTTGAATCTTTCTTTTGATACAGCAGTTTTGAAACACTATTTTTTTAGAATCTACAAGTGGATATTTGGAGCCTTTGAGGCCTATAGTGGGGAAGGAAATATCTTCACATAAAAACTATGCAGAAGCATTCTGAGAAACTTCTTTGTGATGTGTGCATTCATCTCACAGAGTTGAATGTCTCTGTTGATTGAGCAGTTTTGAAACACTCTTTTTATAGAATCTGCAAGTGGATATTTGGAGTTCATTGGGGCCTGCTGTGGAAAAACAAATATCTTCACATAAAAACTACACAGAAGATTTCTGAGAAACACCTTTGTGAGTTGTGCACTGAAGTCACAGTGTTGAACCTATCTTTCGATTCAGCAGTTTTGAATCTCTCTTTTTACAGAACCTGCGAGTGGATATTTGGAGCGCTTTGAGGCGTACTGTGGAAAATGAAATATCTTCACACAAAAACTACACAGAAGCATTCAGAGAACCTTCTTTCTGATGAGTGCATTCATCACAGAGTTGAACCTTTGTTTTGATTTAGCAGTTTTGACACAATCTTTCCGTACAATCTGGAAGTGAATATTTGGAGGGCTTTGAGTTCTGTTTTGGAGAAGGAGATATCTTCATATAAAAACTACACAGAAGCATTCTGTGAAACTTATTTGTGATGTGTGCATTCAACTCAAGTTGTTGAACGTATCTGTTGATTGAGCAGTTTAGAATCTCTCTTTTCGTAGAATCTGCAAGTGAATATTTGGAGCCCTATTTCGCCCTAGAGTGGAAAAGGAAATATCTTCAAATAGAAACTACACAGAAGAATTCTGTGAAACTACTTTCTGATGTTTGCATCCATCTCACAGAGTAGAACCTTTCTTTTGATTGAGCAGTTTTGACACACTCTTTTTGTAGGATCTGCAAGTGGATATTTAGAGCGACTTGAGGCCTATTCTGGGTAGGGAAATTTCTTCAAATAAAAACTACCCAGAAGCATTCTGAGAAACTACTTTATGATGTGTTCATTCATCTCACAGAGTAGAACCTTTCTTTGGATTGAGCTGTTTTGAAACAGTCTTTTTTTCGAATCTGCAAGTGGATATTTGGAGCCTTTTGAGACCTATAGTGGAGAAGGAAATATCTTCACATAAAAACTATGCAGAAGCAACCTGAGAAACTTCTTTGTGATCTGTGCATTCATCTAACAGAGTTGAATCTTTCTTTTGACACAGCAGTTTTGAAACACTCTTTTTTCAGAATCTGCAAGTGGATATTTGGAGCCTTTTGAGGCCTATAGTGGAGAAGGAAATATCTTCACATAAAAACTATGCAGAAGCATTCTGAGAAACTTCTTTGTGATGGGTTCATTCATCTCACAGAGTTGAATGTATCTGTTGATTGAGCAGTTTTGAAACACTGTTTTTGTAGAATCTGCAAGTGGATATTTGGAGCTCATTGGGGACTACTGTGGAAAAACATATATCTTCACATAAAAACTACACAGAAGATTTCTGAGGAACATCTTTGTGAATTGTGCACCTAAGTCACAGTGTTGAACCTATCTTTTGATTCAGCAGTTTGGAATCTCACTTTTTACAGAATCTGAGAGTGGATATTTGGAGCGCTTTGAGGCATACTGTGGAAAATGAAATGTCTTCACACAAAAACTACACAGAAGCATTCAGAGAACCTTCTTTCTGATGAGTGCATTCATCACAGAGTTGAACCTTTGTTTTGATTTAGCAGTTTTGACACAATCTTTCCGTACAATCTGGAAGTGAATATTTGGAGGGCTTTGAGATCTGTTTTGGAGGAGGAGATATCTTCATATAAAAACTACACAGAAGCATTCTGTGAAACTTATTTGCGATGTGTGCATTCAACTCACATTGTTGAAGGTATCTGTTGATTGAGCAGTTTAGAATCTCCCTTTTTGTAGTATCTGCAAGTGAATATTTGGGGCCCTATTTTGCCCTATATTGGAAAAGGAAATATCTTCAAATAGAAGCTACACAGAAGCATTCTGAGAAACTACTTTGTGATGCGTGCATTCATCTCACAGGGTACAACCTTTCTTTGGATTGAGCAGTTTTGAAACACTCTTTTTGTAGAATCTGCAAGTGGATATTTAGAGTGATTTGAGGCCTATTGTGGAAAGGGAAATTTCTTCAACTAAAAACTACCCAGAAGCATTCTGAAAAACTTCTTTGTGATCTGTGCATTCATCTCACAGAGTTGGATGTTTCTATTGATATAGCAGTTTTGAAACACTCTTTTTTAGAATCTGTAAATGGATATTTGGAGCCTTTTCAGGCCTACAGTGTAGAAGGAAATATCTTCACATAAAAACTATGCAGAAGCATTCTGAGAAACTTCTTTGTGATGTGTGCATTCATCTCACAGAGTTGAATGTCTCTCTTGATTGAGCAGTTTTGAAACACTCTTTTTGTGGAATCTGCAAGTGGATATTTGGAGCTCATTGGGGCCTAATGTGGAAAATCAAATATCTTCACATAAAAACTATACAGAAGCATTCTGAGAAACATCTTTGTGAGTTGTGCACTGAAGTGACAGTGTTGAACCTATCTTTTGATTCAGCAGTTTTGAATCTCTCTTTTTACAGAATCTGAGAGTGGATATTTGGAGCGCTTTGAGGCGTACTGTGGAAAATGAAATATCTTCACACAAAAACTACACAGAAGCATTCTGTCAACCTTATTTGTGATGTGTGCATTCAGCTCACATTGTTGAACGTATCTTTTGATTCAGCAGTTTTGAATCTTTCTTTTTACAGAATCTGCGAGTGGATATTTGGAGCGCTTTGAGGCGT
Organism: Homo sapiens; assembly: GCF_000001405.40. Taxonomy (NCBI): domain Eukaryota; kingdom Metazoa; phylum Chordata; class Mammalia; order Primates; family Hominidae; genus Homo; species Homo sapiens. Next base: position 29,192,845 of record NC_000020.11, read on the forward strand.
ACTGTGGAAAATGAATTATCTTCACACAAAAACTACACAGAAGCATTCAGAGAACCTTCTTTCTGATGAGTGCATTCATCACAGATTTGAACCTTTGTTTTCATTTAGCAGTTTTGAGACAATCTTTCCGTAGAAACTGGAAGTGAATATTTGGAGGGCTTTGAGTTCTGTTTTGGATAAAGGGATATCTTCATATAAAAACTACACAGAAGCATTCTGTGAAACTTATTTGTGATGTGTGCTTTCAACTCACATTGTTGAACGTATCTGTTGATTGAGCAGTTTAGAATCTCTCTTTTTGTAGAATCTGCAAGTGAATATTTGGAACCCTATTTCGCCCTAGAGTGGAAAAGGAAATATCTTCAAATAGAAACTACACAGAAGCATTGTGAGAAACTACTTTGTGATGTGTGCATTCATCTCACAGAGTAGAACCTTTCTTTGGATTGAGCAGTTTTGAAACACTCTTTTTGTAGAATCTGTAAGGGGATATTTAGAGCGATTTGAGGCCTTTTGTGGAAAGGGAAATTTCTTCAAATTAAAACTACCCAGAAGCATTCTGAGAAACTCCTTTGTGATCTGTGCATTCATCACACAGAGTTGAATCTTCCTTTTGATACAGCAGTTTTGAAACACTCTTTTTTTAGTATCTGCAGGTGGATATTTGGGGCATTTTCAGGCCTATAGTGGAGAAGGAAACATCTTCACATAAAAAGTATGCAGAAGCATTCTGAGAAACTTCTTTGTGATGGGTGTATTCATCTCACAGAGTTGAATGTCTCTGCTAATTGAGCAGTTTTGAAACACTCTTTTTGTAGAATCTGCAAGTGGATATTTGGAGCTCTTTGGGGCCTGCTTTGGAAAAACAAATATCTTCACATAAAAACTACACAGAAGATTTCTGATAAACACCTTTGTGAGTTGTGCACTGAAGTCACAGTGTTGAACCTATCTTTTGATTCACCACTTTTGAATCTCTCTTTTTACAGAACCTGCGAGTGGATATTTGGAGCGCTTTGAGGCGTACTGTGGAAAATGCAATATCTTCACACAAAAACTGCACAGAAGCATTCAGAGAACCTTCTTTCTGATGAGTGCATTCATCACAGAGTTGAACCTTTGTTTTGATTTAGCAGTTTTGAGACAATCATTCCGTAGAATCTGGAAGTGAATATTTGTAGGGATTTGAGTTGTGTTTTGGAGAAGGAGATATCTTCATATAAAAACTGTACAGAAGCATTCTGAGAAACTTCTTTGTGATCTGTGCATTCACCTCACAGAGTCGAATCTTCCTTTTGATTCAGCAGTTGTGAAACACTATTTTTTTAGAATCTGCAAGTGGATATTTGGAGCCTTTTGAGGCCTATAGTGGAGAAGGAAATATCTTCACATAAAAACTATGCAGAAGCATTCTGAGAAACTACTTTGTGATGTGTGCATTCACCTCACAGAGTAGAACCTTTCTATGGATTGAGCAGTTTTGAAACACGCTTTTTGTAGAATCTGCAAGTGGATATTTCGAGCTCATTGGTGCCTACTGTGGAAAAACAAATGTCTTCACATAAAAACTACACAGAAGCATTCTGAGAAACTACTTTGTGATGTGTGCATTCATCTCACAGAGTAGAACCTTTCTTTTGATTGAGCACTTTTGAAACACTCTTTTTTTAGAATCTGCAAGTGGATATTTGGTGCCTTTTCAGGCCTATAGTGGAGAAGGAAATATCTTCACAGAAAAACTATGCAGAAGCATTCTGAGAAACTTTTTTGTGATCTGTGCATTCATCTCACAGTGTTGAATCATTCTTTTGATACAGAAGTTTAGAAGCACTCTTTTTTTAGAATCCGCAAGTGGATATTTGGAGCCTTTTGAGGCCTATAGTGGAGAAGGAAATATCTTCACATAAAAACTATGCAGAAGCATTCTGAGAAACTTCTTTGTGATGGGTGCATTCATCTCACAGAGTTGAATGTCTCTGTTGATTGAGCAGTTTTGAAACACTCTTTTTGTAGAATCTGCAAGTGGATATTTGGAGCTCATTGGGGCCTACTGTGGAAAAACAAATATCTTCACATAAAAACTACACAGAAGATTTCTGAGAAACACCTTTGTGAGTTGTGCACTGAAGTCACAGTGTTGAACCTATCTTTTGATTCAGCAGTTTTGAATCTCTCTTTTTACAGAACCTGCGAGTGGATATTTGGAGCGCTTTGAGGCGTACTGTGCAAAATGAAATATCTTCACACAAAAACTACACAGAAGCATTCTGAAAAACTTCTTTGTTATGTGTGCATTCATCTCACAGGGTTGAACCTATCTAATGATTGAGCAGTTTTGAAACACTCATTTTGTAGAATCTGCAAGTGGATATTTGGAGCGCTTTGAGACCTTCCGTGGACAAGCTAATGTCTTCACATAAAAACTACACTGAAGCATTCTGTGAAACTTATTTGTGATGTGTGCATTCATCTCACATTGTTGAAGGTATCTGTTGATTGAGCAGTTTAGAATCTCTCTTTTTGTAGAATCTGCAAGTGGATATTTGGAGCCCCTTGCAACCTATGGTGGTAAAGGAAATACCTTCAAATAAAAACTACATAGAAGCATTCTGAGAAACTACTCTGTGTTGCGTGCATTCATCTCACAGGGTACAACCTTTCTTTGGATTGAGCAGTTTTGAAACACTCTTTTTGTAGAATCTGCAAGTGGATATTTAGAGTGATTTGAGGCCTATTGTGGAAAGGGAAATTTCTTCAACTAAAAACTACCCAGAACCATTCTGAGAAACTTCTTTGTGATCTGTGCATTCATCTCACAGAGTTGGATGTTTCTATTGATACAGCAGTTTTGAAACACTATTTTTTTAGAATCTACAAGTGGATATTTGGAGCCTTTGAGGCCTATAGTGGGGAAGGAAATATCTTCACATAAAAACTATGCAGAAGCATTCTGAGAAACTTCTTTGTGATTGGTGCATTCATCTCACAGAGTTGAATGTCTCTGTTGATTGAGCAGTTTTGACACTCTTTTTGTGGAATCTGCAAGTGGATATTTGGAGCTCATTGGGGCCTACTGTGGAAAATCAAATATCTTCACATAAACACTACACAGAAGCATTCTGAGAAACATCTTTGTGAGTTGTGCACTGAAGTGACAGTGTTGAACCTATCTTTTGATTCAGCAGTTTTGAATCTCTCTTTTTACAGAATCTGAGAGTGGATATTTGGAGCGCTTTGAGGTGTGCTGTGGAAAATGAAATATCTTCACACAAAAACTACACAGAAGCATTCAGAGAACCTTCTTTCTGATGAGTGCATTCATCACAGAGTTGAACCTTTGTTTTGATTTAGCAGTTTTGAGACAATCTTTCCGTAGAATCTGCAAGTAAATATTTGGAGGGCTTTGAGTTCTGTTTTGGAGAAGGAGATATCTTCATATAAAAACTATACAGAAGCATTCTGTGAAACTTATTTGTGATGTGTGCATTCAACCAAAAATGTTGAAAGTATCTGTTGATTGAGCAGATTAGAATCTCTCTTTTTGTAGAATCTGCAAGTGAATATTTGGAGCCCTATTTCGCCCTATAGTGGAAAAGGAAATATCTTCAAATAGAAGCTACACAGAAGCATTCTGAGAAACTACTTTGTGAAGTGTGCATTCACCTCACAGAGTACAACCTTTCTTTTGACTGAGCAGTTTTGAAACATTCTTTCTGTAGAATCTGCAAGTGGATATTTAGAGCAATTTGAGGCCTATTGTGGAAAGGGAAATTTCTTCAAATAAAAACTACCCAGAAGCTTTATGAGAAACTTCTTTGTGATCTGTGCATCCATCTCACAGAGTTGAATCTTTCTTTTGATACAGCAGTTTTGAAACACTATTTTTTTAGAATCTACAAGTGGATATTTGGAGCCTTTGAGGCCTATAGTGGGGAAGGAAATATCTTCACATAAAAACTATGCAGAAGCATTCTGAGAAACTTCTTTGTGATGTGTGCATTCATCTCACAGAGTTGAATGTCTCTGTTGATTGAGCAGTTTTGAAACACTCTTTTTATAGAATCTGCAAGTGGATATTCGGAGTTCATTGGGGCCTGCTGTGGAAAAACAAATATCTTCACATAAAAACTACACAGAAGCATTCTGAGAAACTCTTTTGTGAGGTGTGCGCTGAAGTCAGAGTGTTGAACCTATCTTTTGATTCAGCAGTTTTGAATCTCTCTTTTTACAGAACCTGCGAGTGGATATTTGGAGCGCTTTGGGGCTTACTGTGGAAAATGAAATATCTTCACACAAAAACTACAGAGAAGCATTCAGAGAACCTTCTTTGTGATGAGTGCATTCATCACAGAGTTGAACCTTTGTTTTGATTTAGTAGTTTTGAGACAATCATTCCGTAGAATCTGGAAGTGAATATTTGTAGGGATTTGAGTTGTGTTTTGGAGAAGGAGATATCTTAATATAAAAACTGTACAGAAGCATTCTGTGAAACTTATTTGTGATGTGTGCATTCAACTCATATTGTTGAACGTATCTGTTGATTGAGCAGTTTAGAAACTCCCTTTTTGTAGAATCTGCAAGTGAATATTTGGAGCCTTATTTCACCCTATAGTGGAAAAGGAAATGTCTTCAAATAGAAACTACACAGAAGAATTCTGCGAAACTACTTTCTGATGTTTGCATCCATCTCACAGTGTAGAACCTTTCTTTTGATTGAGCAGTTTTGACACACTCTTTTTGTAGGATCTGCAAGTGGATATTTAGAGCGACTTGAGGCCTATTCTGGGTAAGGAAATTTCTTCAAATAAAAACTACCCAGAAACATTCTGAGAAACTACTTTATGATGTGTTCATTCATCTCACAGAGTAGAACCTTTCTTTGGATTGAGCTGTTTTGAAACAGTCTTTTTTTCGAATCTGCAAGTGGATATTTGGAGCCTTTTGATACCTATAGTGGAGAAGGAAATATCTTCACATAAAAACTATGCAGAAGCATTCTGAGAAACTTTTTTGTGATCTGTGCATTCATCTCACAGTGTTGAATCATTCTTTTGATACAGAAGTTTAGAAGCACTCTTTTTTTAGAATCCGCAAGTGGATATTTGGAGCCTTTTGAGGCCTATAGTGGAGAAGGAAATATCTTCACATAAAAACTATGCAGAAGCATTCTGAGAAACTTCTTTGTGATGTGTGCATTCATCTCACAGAGTTGAATGTCTCTGTTGATTGAGCAGTTTTGAAACACTCTTTTTATAGAATCTGCAAGTGGATATTTGGAGCTCATTGGGGACTACGGTGGAAAAACAAATATCTTCACATAAAAACTACACAGAAGATTTCTGAGGACCATCTTTGTGAATTGTGCACCTAAGTCACAGTGTTGAACCTATCTTTTGATTCAGCAGTTTGGAATCTCTCTTTTTACAGAATCTGAGAGTGGATATTTGGAGTGCTTTGAGGCATACTGTGGAAAATGAAATGTCTTCACACAAAAACTACACAGAAGCATTCAGAGAACCTTCTTTCTGATGAGTGCATTCATCACAGTGTTGAACCTTTGTTTTGATTTAGCTGTTTTGAGACAATCTTTCCGTAGGATCTGGAAGTGAATATTTGTAGGGCTTTAAGATCTGTTTTGGAGAAGGAGATATCTTCATATAAAAACTACACAGAAGCATTCTGTGAAACTTATTTGCGATGTGTGCATTCAACTCACATTGTTGAAGGTATCTGTTGATTGAGCAGTTTAGAATCTCCCTTTTTGTAGAATCTGCAAGTGAATATTTGGGGCCCTATTTTGCCCTATATTGGAAAAGGAAATATCTTCAAATAGAAACTACACAGAAGCATTCTGAGAAACTACTCTGTGATGCGTGCATTCATCTCACAGGGTATAACCTTTCTTTGGATTGAGCAGTTTTGAAACACTCTTTTTGTAGAATCTGCAAGTGGATATTTAGAGTGATTTGAGGATTATTGTGGAAAGGGAAATTTCTTCAACTAAAAACTACCCAGAAGCATTCTGAGAAACTTCTTTGTGATCTGTGCATTCATCTCACAGAGTTGGATGTTTCTATTGATACAGCAGTTTTGAAACACTCTTTTTTTAGAATCTGTAAATGGATATTTGGAGTCTTTTCAGGCCTACAGTGTAGAAGGAAATATCTTCACATAAAAACTATGCAGAAGCATTCGGCAAAACTTATTTGTGATGTGTGCATTCATCTCACAGAGTTGAATGTCTCTGTTGATTGAGTAGTTTTGAAACACTCTTTTTGTAGAATCTGCAAGTAGATATTTGGAGCTCATTGGGGCCTACTGTGGAAAAACAAATAACTTCTCATAAAAACTACACAGAAGCATTCTGAGAAATACCTTTGTGAGTTGTGCACTGAAGTCACGTTGTTGAACGTATCTTTTGATTCAGCAGTTTTGAATCTCTCTTTTTACAGAATCTGAGAGTGGATATTTGGAGCGCTTTGAGGCGTACTGTTGAAAATGAAATATCTTCACACAAAAACTACACAGAAGCATTCAGGGAACCTTCTTTCTGATGAGTGCACTCATCACAGAGTTGAACCTTTGTTTTGATTTAGCAGTTTTGAGGCAATCTTTCTGTAGAATCTGGAAGTAAATATTTGGAGGGCTTTGAGTTCTGTTTTGGAGAAGGAGATATCTTCATATAAAAACTACACAGAAGCATTCTGATAAACTTCTTTCTGATGTGTGCATTCAACCAACAATGTTGAAAGTATCTGTTGATTGAGCAGATTAGAATCTCTCTTTTTGTAGAATCTGCAAGTGAATATTTGGAGCCCTATTTCGCCCTATAGTGGAAAAGGAAATATCTTCAAATAGAAGCTACACAGAAGCATTCTGAGAAACTACTTTGTGATGTGTGCATTCACCTCACAGAGTACAACCTTTCTTTTGACTGAGCAGTTTTGAAACATTCTTTCTGTAGAATCTGCAAGTGGATATTTAGAGCAATTTGAGGCCTATTGTGGAAAGGGAAATTTCTTCAAATAAAAACTACCCAGAAGCTTTATGAGAAACTTCTTTGTGATCTGTGCATTCATCTCACAGAGTAGAACCTTTCTTTTGATTGAGCACTTTTGAAACACTCTTTTTTTTAGAATCTGCAAGTGGAAGTTTGGAGCCTTTTGAGGCCTATAGTGGAGAAGGAAATATCTTCACATAAAAACTATGCAGAAGCATTCTGAGAAACTTCTTTGTGATGGCTGCATTCATGTCACAGAGTTGAATGTCTCTGTTGATTGAACAGTTTTGAAACACTCTTTTTGTAGAATGTGGAAGTGGATATTTGGAGCTCATTTGGTCCTACTGTGGAAAAACAAATATCTTCACATAAAAACTACACAGAAGCATTCTGAGAAACTTCTTTGTGATGGGTTCATTCATCTCACAGAGTTGAATGTCTCTGTTGATTGAGCAGTTTTGAAACACTCTTTTTGTAGAATCTGCAAGTGGATATTTGGAGCTCATTGGGGACTACTGTGGAAAAACATATATCTTCACGTAAAAACTACACAGAAGATTTCTGAGAAACACCTTTGTGAGGTGTGCACTGAAGTCCCTGTATTGAACCTATCTTTTGATTCAGCAGTTTTGAATCTCTCTTTTTACAGAGGCTGAGACTGGATATTTGGAGCGCTTTGAGGCGTACTGTGGAAAATGAAATATCTTCACACAAAAACTACACAGAAAGCATTCAGAGAACCTTCTTTCTGATGAGTGCATTCATCACAGTGTTGAACCTTTGTTTTGATTTAGCTGTTTTGAGACTATCTTTCCGTAGGATCTGGAAGTGAATATTTGTAGGGCTTTAAGATCTGTTTTGGAGAAGGAGATATCTTCATATAAAAACTACACAGAAGCATTCTGTGAAACTTATTTGCGATGGGTGCATTCAACTCACATTGTTGAAGGTGTCTGTTGATTGAGCAGTTTAGAATCTCCCTTTTTGTAGAATCTGCAAGTGAATATTTGGGGCCCTATTTTGCCCTATATTGGAAAAGGAAATATCTTCAAATAGAAACTACACAGAAGCATTCTGAGAAACTACTCTGTGATGCGTGCATTCATGTCACAGGGTACAACCTTTCTTTGGATTGAGCAGTTTTGAAACACTCTTTTTGTAGAATCTGCAAGTGCATATTTAGAGTGATTTGAGGCTTATTGTGGAAAGGGAAATTTCTTCAACTAAAAACTACCCAGAACCATTCTGAGAAACTTCTTTGTGATCTGTGCATTCATCTCACAGAGTTGGATGTTTCTATTGATACAGCAGTTTTGAAACACTCTTTTTTTAGAATCTGTAAATGGATATTTGGAGTCTTTTCAGGCCTACAGTGTAGAAGGAAATATCTTCACATAAAAACTATGCAGAAGCATTCTGAGAAACATCTTTGTGAGTTGTGCACTGAAGTGACAGTGTTGAACCTATCTTTTGATTCAGCAGTTTTGAGTCTCTCTTTTTACAGAATCTGAGAGTGGATATTTGGAGCACTTTGAGGCGCACTGTGGAAAATGAAATATCTTCACACAAAAACTACACAGAAGCATTCTGTCAACCTTATTTGTGATGTGTGCATTCAGCTCACATTGTTGAACGTATCTTTTGATTCAGCAGTTTTGAATCTTTCTTTTTACAGAATCTGCGAGTGGATATTTGGAGCGCTTTGAGGCGCACTGTGGAAAATGGATTATCTTCACACAAAAACTACACAGAAGCATTCAGAGAAACTTCTTTCTGATGAGAGCATTCATCACAGAGTTGAACCTTTGTTTTGATTTAGCAGTTTTGAGACAATCTTTCCGTAGAATCTGGAAGTAAATATTTGGAGGGCTTTGAGTTCTGTTTTGGAGAAGGAGATATCTTCATATAAAAACTATACAGAAGCATTCTGTGAAACTTATTTGTGATGTGTGCATTCAACCAACAATGTTGAAAGTATCTGTTGATTGAGCAGATTAGAATCTCTCTTTTTGTAGAATCTGCAAGTGAATATTTGGAGCCCTATTTCGCCCTATAGTGGAAAAGGAAATATCTTCAAATAGAAGCTACACAGAAGCATTCTGAGAAACTACTTTGTGATGTGTGTATTCATCTCACAGAGTAGAACCTTTCTTTTGATTGAGCAGTTTTGAAACACTCTTTTTGTAGAATCTGCAAGTGGATATTTAGAGCGATTTGCGGCCTATTGTGGAAAGGGAAATATCTTCAAATAAAAACTACCCAGAAGCATTCTGAGAAACTTCTTTGTGATCTGTGCATTCATCGCACAGAGTTGAATCTTTCTTTTGATACAGCAGTTTTGAAACACTATTTTTTTGGAATCTGCAAGTGGATATTTGGAGCCTTTTGAGGCCTATAGTGGAGAAGGAAATATCTTCACATAAAAACTACGCAGAAGCATTCTGAGAAACTTCTTTGTGATGTGTGCATTCATCTCACAGAACTGAATGTCTCTGTTGATTGAGCAGTTTTGAAACACTCTTTTTGAAGAATCTGCAAGTGGATATTTGGAGCTCATTGGGGCCTACTGTGGAAAAACAAATATCTTCACATAAGAACTACACAGAAGATTTCTGAGGAACATCTTTGTGAATTGTGCACCTAAGTCACAGTGTTGAACCTATCTTTTGATTCAGCAGTTTGGAATCTCTCTTTTTACAGAATCTGAGAGTGGATATTTGGAGCGCTTTGAGGCATACTGTGGAAAATGAAATGTCTTCACACAAAAACTACACAGAAGCATTCAGAGAACCTTCTTTCTGATGAGTGCATTCATCACAGAGTTGAACCTTTGTTTTGATTTAGCAGTTTTGACACAATCTTTCCGTACAATCTGGAAGTGAATATTTGGAGGGCTTTGAGTTCTGTTTTGGAGAAGGAGATATCTTCATATAAAAACTACACAGAAGCATTCTGTGAAACTTATTTGCGATGTGTGCATTCAAATCACATTGTTGAAGGTATCTGTTGATTGAGCAGTTTAGAATCTCCCTTTTTGCAGAATCTGCAAGTGAATATTTGTTGCCCTATTTTGCCCTATATTGGAAAAGGAAATATCTTCAAATAGAAACTACACAGAAGCATTTTGAGAAACTACTCTGTGATGCGTGCATTCATCTCACATGTTACAACCTTTCTTTGGATTGAGCAGTTTTGAAACACTCTTTTTGTAGAATCTGCAAGTGGATATTTAGAGTGATTTGAGGCCTATTGTGGAAAGGGAAATTTCTTCAACTAAAAACTACCCAGAAGCATTCTGATAAACTTCTTTGTGATCTGTGCATTCATCTCACAGAGTTGGATGTTTCTATTGACATAGCAGTTTTGAAACACTCTTTTTTAGAATCTGTAAATGGATATTTGGAGCCTTTTCAGGCCTACAGTGTAGAAGGAAATATCTTCACATAAAAACTATGCAGAAGCATTTTGAGAAACTTCTTTGTGAGATATGCATTCAACTCACAGAGTTGAACTTATCTTTTCATTGAGAACTTTTGTATCTCTTTTTTGGTAGAATCTGCAAGTGGATATTTGGAGCTCTTTGCACCCTATTGTGGAAAAGGAAATATCTTCACATAAAAACTACACAGAAGCTTTCTGAGAAACACCTTTGTGAGGTGTGCATTGAAGTCACAGAGTTGAACCTATCTTTTGATTCAGCAGATTTGAATCTCTCTTTTTGCAGAATCTGTGAGTGGATATTTGGAGCGCTTTGAGGCCTACTGTGGAAAATCAAAAATCTTCACATAAAAACTACACAGAAGCATTCAGAGAAACTTCTTTCTGATGAGAGCATTCATCACAGAGTTGAACCTTTGTTTTGATTTAGCAGTTTTGAGACAATCTTTCCGTAGAATCTGGAAGTAAATATTTGGAGGGCTTTGAGTTCTGTTTTGGAGAAGGAGATATCTTCATATAAAAACTATACAGAAGCATTCTGCGAAACTTATTTGTGATGTGTGCATTCAACTCACAGTGTTGAACCTATCTGTTGATTGAGCAGTTTAGAATCTCTCTTTTTGTAGAATCTGCAAGTGAATATTTGGAGCCCTATTTCGCCCTATAGTGGAAAAGGAAATATCTTCAATAGAAACTACACAGAAGCATTCTGAGAAACTACTTTGTGATGTGTGCATTCATCTCACAGAGTAGAACCTTTCTTTTGATTGAGCAGTTTTGAAACATTCTTTTTGTAGAATCTGCAAGTGGATATTTAGAGTGATTTGAGGCCTATGGTGGAAAGGGAAATATCTTCAAATAAAAACTACCCAGAAGCTTTATGAGAAACTTCTTTGTGATCTGTGCATCCATCTCACAGAGTTGAATCTTTCTTGTGATACAGCAGTTTTGTAACACTATTTTTTTAGAATCTACAAGTGGATATTTGGAGCCTTTGAGGCCTATAGTGGGGAAGGAAATATCTTCACATAAAAACTATGCAGAAGCATTCGGCGAAACTTCTTTGTGATGGGTGCATTCATCTCACAGAGTTGAATGTCTCTGTTGATTGAGCAGTTTTGAAACACTCTTTTTATAGAATCTGCAAGTGGATATTTGGAGTTCATTGGGGCCTGCTGTGGAAAAACAAATATCTTCACATAAAAACTACAGAGAAGCATTCTTATAAACATCTTTGTGAGTTGTGCACTGAAGTCACAGTGTTGAACCTATCTTTTGATTCAGCAGTTTTGAATCTCTCTTTTTACAGAATCTCGGAGTGGATATTTGGAGCGCTTTGAGGCGTACTGTGGAAAATGAAATATCTTCACACAAAAACTGCACAGA
>NC_000020.11:29204768-29271546 GCF_000001405.40 Homo sapiens
ATTTCATTGAACAGATTGGAAACACTCTTTCTGTAGAATCTGCAATGGACATTTTTCGCACTTTGAGGCCTATGGTGGAAAAGGAAATATCTTCACATAAAAACTAGACCAAAGCATTCTGACAAACTTCTTTGTGATGTGTGCATTCATCTCACAGATTTGAACCTTACTTTTCATTGAGCAGTTTGCAAACACTCTTTTTGTAGAATCTGCAAGTGGATATTTGGAGTGCTTTGGGGGCTGTGGTGGAAAAGGAAGTATCTTCACATAAAAACTAGACAGATGCATTCTGACAAACTTTTTTGTGATGTGTGCATTCATCTCACAGAGTTGAAACTTTATTTTCATTGAGCAGCTTTGAAACTCTCTTTTTGTAGAATCTGCAAGTGGACATTTGGAGCGCTTTTAGGTCTAAAGTGGAAAAGAAAAAATATCTTCAAATACAAAGTAGACAGAAGCATTCTGACAAACTTCTTCATGATGTGTGCTTTCATCTCACAGAGTTGAAACTTACTTTTCATTGTGCAGTTTTGAAATACACTTTTTGTAGAAGCTGCTACTGGACATTAGGACTGCTTTGAGGCCTATGGTGGAAAAGGGAATATCTTCTCATAAAAACCAGATAAAAGCATTCTGACAGACTACTTTGTGATGTGTGCATTCATCTCACAGAGTTGAAAGTTTCTTTTGATTGAGCAGATTTGAAACACTCTTTTTGTAGAATCTGCAAGTGGATATTTTTAGCACTTTGAGGCCTATGGTGGAAAAGGAAATATCTTCACATAAAAACTAGATCGAAACATTTTGACAAACTTCTTTGTGATGTGTGCATTCATCTCACAGAGTTGAACCTTACTTTTCATTGAGCAGTTTTGAAACACTCTTTTGGTAGAATCTGCAAGTGGACGTGTGGAGTGCTTTGAGTCCTATGGGGTAAAGGGAAATATCTTCACATAAAAACTACACAGAAGCATTCTGAGAAACATCTTTGTGATGTGTGTATTCATCTCACAGAGTTTAACCTTCCTTTGATTGAGGAGTTTTGAAACACTCTTTTTGTAGAATCTGCAAGTGGATATTTGTAGCACTTTGAGCCCTGTTCTGGAAAATGAAATACCTTCACATAAAATCTACACAGAAGCATTCTCAGAAACTTCTTTGGGATGTGTGCATTCATCTCACAGATATGAAGCTTTCTTTTTATTGAGCAGTTTGGAAAAACTCTTTTTCTAGTATGTGCAAGCGGATATTTGGAGTCCTTTGTGGCCTATGTTGCAAGAGGAAATATCTTAACATAAAAACTACACAGAATCATTCTGAGAAACTTCCTTTTCATATGTGCATTCATCTCACATAGTTGAACCTGTCTTTTGATTGAGCAGTATGGAAACACTCTTTTTGTAGAAATTGCAAGAGGATATTTGGAGTTTTATGCCTATCTTGGAAAAGGAAATATGATCACATAAAAACCACACAGAAGAATTCTGAAAAACTTCTTTGTTTTGTGTTCATTCAACTCACAGAGTTGAACCTATCTTTTGAATGAGCAGTTTTGAAACTCTCTTTTTGTAGACTCTACAAGTGGAAATTTGAGCTCTTTGTGGCCGATGGTGGAAAAGGAAATATCTTCCCATAAAAACTACACAGAATTATTCTGAGAACCTTCTTTGTGACGTGTGCATTCATCTCACAGAGTTGAACCTTTCTTTTGATTGAGCTGTTTTGAAACACTCTTTTTGTAGAATCTGCAAGTGGACATTTGGAGTCCTTTGAAGCCTATTGTGGAAAAGGAAGTATCCTCACATAAAAACTACACAGAAGCATTCTGAGGAACTTCTTTGTGATGTGTGCGTTCAACTCACAGAGTTGAACCTATCTTTTTATAGAGCAGTTTTGAAACTGTTTTTGTAGAATCTGCAAGTGGATATTTGGAGCCCTTTGTGGCTTATAGTGGAAAAGGAAATATCCTCCTATAAAAACTACAAAGAATCACTCTGAGAAACTTCTTTGTGATGTGTGCATTCATGTCACAGAGTTGAACCTTTCTTTTGATTCAGCAGTTTTGAAAATATCTTTTTGTAGGATCTGTAAGGGGATATTTGGAGGGCTTAGAGGCCCATGGTGGAAAAGGGAATATCTTCCCATAAAAACTACACAGAAGCATTCTGAGAAACTTCTTTGTGATGTCTGCATTCAACTCGTAGAGTTGAACCTATCTTTTGATAGAGCAGTTTTGGAATTCTCTTTTTGTAGAATCTGAAAGGGGATATTTGGAGGCCTTTGTGGCCGATAATGGAAAAGGAAATATCTTCCAATAAAAACTACACGGAAGCATTATGGGAAACTTCCTTTTGATGTGTACATTTATCTCACAGAGTTGAACATTTCATTTGATTGATGAGTTTTGAAACACTCTTTTTCTAGAAACTGCCATTGGATATTTGGATCGCTTTGAGGCCTATTGTGCAAAAGGAAATATCTTCATATAAAAACTACACAGAAGCATTCTCAGAAACTTCTTTGTGATGTGTGCATTCATCTCAGAGTTCAAACTTTCTTTTGAATGAGCATTTTGGAAACACTCTTTTTGTAGAATCTGCATGTGGATACTTGGAGCACTTTGAGACCTATTGTGGAAAAGGAAATATCTTCACATAAAAACTGAAAAGAAAAATTTTGAGAAACTTCTTTGTGATACTTGCATTCATCTCACATTGTTGAACATTTCTTTTGATAGAGCACTTTTGAAACTCCCTTTTGTAGAATCTGCAAGTGGATATTTGGAGCCCTTTGCGGCCTATGGTGGAAAAGGAAATATCTTCACATAAAAACTACACAGAAGGATTCTGAGAAACTTCTTTGTGATGTGTGCATTCAACTCGCAGAGTTGAACCCATCTTTTGATAGAGCAGTTTTCATACTCTCTTTTTGTAGAATCTGCAAGTGGATATTTGGAGCCCTTGGCGGCCTATGGTGGAAAAGGAAATATCTTCATATTAAAACTTCAAAGAAGCATTCTGAGAAACTTCTTTGTGATGTGTGCATTGATTCCACAGAGTTGAACCTTTCTTTTTATTGAGAAGTTTGGAAACACTCCTTTGTAGGGTCTGCAAGTGGGTATTTGGAGCGATTTGAGGGCTATGGTGGAGAAGGAAATATCTTCACATAAAAACTACACAGCATCATTCTCAGAAACTACTTTGTGATGTGTGCATTCAAGTAACAGAGTTGAACCTATCTTTTGATAGAGCAGTTTTGAAATTCTCTTTCTATAGAATCTGCAAGTGGAGTTTTGGAGCCCTTTGTGGCCTATTGTGGTAAAGGAAAGATCTTCATATAAAAACTATACAGAAGCATTCTGAGAAACTTCTTTGTGATGTGTGCATTCATCTCACAGAGGTGAACCTTTCTTTTGATTTAGCAATTTTGAAACACTCGTTTGTATATTCTGCAAGTGGATATTTGGAGCGCTTTGTGGCCTATGGTGGAAAAGGAAATATCTTCACATAAAAATTACACTGAAACTTTCTCAGAAACTTCTTTGTGATGTGTGCATTCCACTCACAGAGTTGAACCTATCTTTTGATAGAGCAGTTTTGAAACTCTCTTTTTGTAGAATCTTCAAGTGGGTATTTTTAGCCCTTTGTGGCCTATGTTGGAAAAGGAAATATCTTCACATAGAAACTACCCGGAGGAATTCTGAGAAACTTCTTTGTGATGTGTGCATTAATCTCACAGAGTTGAAACTTTCTTTTGATTGAGCAGTTTTGAAACACTCTTTTTCTAGAATCTGCATGTGGATATTTGGAGAGCTTTGAGGCCTGTGGTGGAAAAGGAAATATCTTCACATAAAAACTACACCAAAGCATTCTGAGAAACTTCTTTGTGATGTGTCCATTCACCTCGCAGGGTTGAACCTATCTTTTGATAGAGCAGTTTTAAACCCTCTTTTTGTAGGAGATGCAAGTGGATATTTGGAGCGGTTTCAGGCCTACGGTGGAAAAGGAAATATCTTCACATAAAAACTACACAGAAGAATTCTCAGAAACTTTTTGTGATGTGTGCATTCAACTCACAGAGTTCAATGTAACTTTTCATAGAGCAGTTTTGAAACTCTATTTGGTAGAATCTGCAAGTGGATATTTGGAGCCATTTGTGGCCTATGGGGGAAAAGGACATATCTTCACATAAAAACTACACAGAAGCATTCTGAGAAACTTCTTTGTGATGTGTGCATTCAACTCAAAGAGTTGAACCTATCTTTTGACAGAGCAGTTTTGAAACTCTCTGTTTTTAGAACCTGCAAGTGGATATTTGGAGACCTTTATGGCCTATGGTGGAAAAGGAAGTATCTTCACATAACAACTTCACAGAAGCATTCTGAGAAACTACTTTGTGATGTGTGCATTCAACTCACAGAGTTCAACCTATCTTTTGATAGAGTAGTTTTGAAACTCTCTTTTTGTAGAATCTGCAAGTGAATATTTTTAGCCCTTTGCAGCCTATGGTGGAAAAGGAAATATCTTCACATAAATATTAAACAGAGGCATTCTGAGAAACTACTTTGTGATGTGTGCATTCATCTCACACATTAGAACCTTTCTTTTGTTTGAGCAGTTTTGAAACACTCTTTTTGTAGTATCTGCAAGTGGATATTTGGAGGGATTTGTGGCCTAATGTGGAAAAGGAAATATCTTCACAAAAAAACTAGACAAAACCATTCTTAGAAACTTCTTTTTGATGTATGCATTCTAATAACGGAATTGAACCTTTCTTTTGACTAAGCTGTTATGAAACCCTATTTCTGTAGAATCTGCAATTGGATACTTGCAACAGTTTACGACTTCTAGTGGAAAAGGAAATGTCTTTACATACAAACTAGACAGAAGCTTTCTGAGAAACTACTTTGTGATGTGTGCATTCATCTCACAGATTTGAAACTTCCTTTTAATTGAGCAGTTTTCAAACACTCTTTTTGTAGAATCTGCAAGTGCATATTTGGAACGCTTTGAGGCCAATGGTGGAAAAGGAAATATCTTCACATAAAAACTAGACAGAAGCATGCTGAGAAACTTCTTTGTGATGTGTGCATTCAACTCACAGAATTGAACCTCTCTTATGATTGAGCCGTTTGGAAACTCTCTTTTTGTACTATCTACATGTTGATATTTGGAGCACTTTGATGCCTATGGTTTGAAAAAAAATCTTCACATAAAAACTAGACAGAAGCATTCTGAGAAGCTTCTTCGTGATGTGTGCATTCAACTCACAGAGTTGAACCTTTCTTTTGATTGAGCAGTTTGGAAACAGTCTTTCTGTACAATCTGTAAGTGGATCTTTTGTATGCTTTGAGGCCCATGATAGAAAAGGAAATATCTTCATGAAAGAACTGGACAGAAGCATTCTGAGAAACTTCTTTGTGATGTGAGCAGTCATCTCACAGGGTTGAACCTTTCTTTCAATTTAGCAGTTTTGAAACACACCTTTTGTAGATTCTGCAAGTGGATATTTGGAGCCCTTTACCATCTATAGTGGAAAAGGAAATATCATATAAAAACTAGACAGAAGCATTCTGAGAAACTTGTTTGTGATGTGTGCATTCAACTGAGAGACTTGAACCTCTCTTTTGCTTGAACAGTTTGGAAACTATCTTTTTGTAGGATCTGCAAGTGGATATTTGGAACCATTTGTGGCCTATGGTGTAAAACTAAGTATCTACACATAAAAACTCGACAGAAGCATTCTGAGAAACTTCTTTGTGATGTGTGAATTCAACTCACAGAGTTGAACTGCTCTTTTGATTGAGCAGTTTGGAAACAGTCTTTTTGAAGTATCTGTTTGTGGATATTTGGAGCTCCTTGAGGCCTACGGTGGAAAACGAAATATCTTCACATGAAAACTTGAGAGAAACATTCTGAGAAACATCTTTGCGATATGTGCATTCACCTCACATGGTTAAACTTCCCTTTTGATTGAGCAGTTTGGAAACACTCTTTTTGTAGTATCTGCAAATGGATATTTGGAGAGGACTGAGGCCTATAGTGGAAAAGGAAATATCTTCACATAAAAGCTAGACAGAAGCATTCTGAGAAACTTCCTTGTGATGAATGCACTCAATTCACAGAGTTGAAACTTTCTTTTGGTTGAGCAGTTTTGTAACACTCTTTTTGTAGAATCTGCAAGGGGATATTTGGAGCAATTTGTGGCCTATAGTGGAAAAGAAAATGTCTTCACATAAAAACGAGACAGAAGTATTCTGAGAAACTTCTTTGTGATGTGTGCATTCAATTCACCGAACTGAATATTTCTTTAGATACGGCAGTTTTAAAACACTCTTTTTGTTGTATCTGCAAATGGATATTATGAGCAGTTTCAGGCCTATGGTGGAAAAGGAAATGTCTTCATATAAATACAAGAAAGAAGCATTCTGAGAATCTTCTTTGTGATGTGTGCTTTGAACTCCCAGGCTTCAACCTTTCTTTTGATAGAACAGTTTTGAAACACACTTTTTGTATAATCTGCTAGTGGATATTTGAAGCAATTTGGGGCCTATGGTGGAAAAGGGAATATCTTCACCTAAAAAATACACAGAAGTATTCTGAGAAACTTCCTTGTGATGTGTGCATTCAACTAACAGAGTTGAACCTTACTTTTGATTCAGCAGTTTTGAAACACTCTTTTTGTAGAATCTGCAATTGGATATTTGGAGCGCGTTGTGGCCTATGGTGGGAAAAGAAATATCTTCACATAAAATCTAGCAGAAACATTCTGAGAAACTTCTGTGTCATGTGTGCATTCACTTCACAGAGATGAAACTTTCTTTTGATTGAACAGTTTTGAAACACTCTTTTTGTAGAATCTGCAAGTGCATATTTGGAGTGCTTTGAGGCCTATTGTGGAAAATGATATATCTTTATCTAAAAACTACACTGAAGAATTCTGAGAAAGTTTTTTGTGTTGTGTGCATTTAACTCACAGAATTGAACTTTTCTTTTGATTGCACAGTTTGGAAACTGTTTTTGTGGTATCTGCAAATGAATATTTGGAGAGGTTTGAGGACTGTTGTGGAAAAGGAAATATCTTCACATAAAAACAAGACAGAAGTATTCTGAGAAACTTCTTTTTGATGTGTGCATTCATCTCACAGAGTTGAAACTTTCTTTTGATTGTCCATTATGAAACCAGCTTTTTGTAGAATCTGCAAGTGGGTATTTGGAGCGCATTGAGCACTATGGTGAAAAAGGAAGTAACTTCACAGAGAAAAATATCAGAAGCATTCTGAGAAACTTCTTTGTGATGTGTGCATTCATCTCTCAGAGTTGAACCTTTCATTTGATTTAGCAGTTTTGAAACACTCTTTTTGTAGAATCTGCAAGTGGATATTTGGAGCGCTTTGAGGCCTATTGTGGAAAAGGATATAACCTTATCTAAAGACTACACAGAAGAATTTTGTGAAAGTTCTTTGTGTTGTGCGCATTTAACTCACAGAATTGAACTTTTCTTTTGATTGCACAGTTTGGAAACTGTGTTTTTGTGGTATCTGCAAATGAATATTTGGAGCGGTTTGAAGACTGTTGTGGAAAAGGAAATATCTTCACATAAAAACAAGACAGAAGCATTCTGAGAAACTTCTTTTTGATGTGTGCATTAATCTCACAGAGTTGAAACTTTCTTTTGATGGACCAGTTTTGAAACCCGCTTTCTGTAGAATCTGCAAGTGGGTATCTGGAGCGCACTGAGCACTATGGTGGAAAAGGAAGTAACTTCACAGAAAAACACAACAGAAGCATTCTAAGAAACTTCTTTGTGATGTGTGCATTCATCTCTCAGAATTTAACATTTCATTTGATTTAGCAGTTTTGAAACACTCTTTTTGTAGAATCTACAAGTGGATATTTGGAAGGATTTGAGGGTACCATGGAAAAGGAAATATCTTCACATAAAAACAACACAGAAGCATTCTCAGAAACTTCGTTGTTTTGTGTGCATTCATCTCACAGAGTTGAAACATTCCTTTTACAGAGCAGTTTTGAAACACACTTTTTGCAGAATCTGCAAGTGGATATTTGCAGCCCTTTGAGGGCTATGGTGGAAAAGGAAATATGTTCACATAAAAACTACACAGAAGCATTCTGAGAAACTGCTTTGTGATGTATGCATTCAACTCACAGAGTTAAACCTATGTTTTCATAGAACAGTTTTGAAACTCTTTGTAGAATCTACAAGTGATTATTTAGAGGCTTTTGTGACAGATGGTGGAAAAGGAAATATCTTCCTATAAAAACTACACAGAAGTATTCTGAGAAACTTCCTTGTGATGCATGCATTCTTCTCACAGAGTTGAACATTTCATTTGATTGAGCAGTCTTGAAACACTCTTTTTGTAGAATCTGCAAGTGGCCATTTGGAGCCTTTTGCGGCCAATGGTGGAAAAGGAAATATCTTCACATAAAAACTGCACAAAAGCATTGTGGGAATCTGCTTTGTGATGTGTGCATTCATCTCACAGAGATGAACCTCTCTTTTCATTGAGTAGTTTGGAAACACTCTTTTTGTAGAATCGGTAAGGGGATATATGAAGCGTTTTGAGGCCTATTGTGGAAAATGAATTTTCTTCACATAAAAACTACACAGAAGCATTCTGAGAAACTTCTTTGTGATGTGTGCATTCATCTCACAGAGTTGAACCTTTCTTTTGATTGAGCAGTTGTGAAGCATTCTTTTTGTAGAAACTGCAAGTGGATATTTGTAGTGCTTTGAGGCCTATGGCAGAAAAGAAATATCTTCACATAAAAACTACACAGAAGCATTCTGAGAAACTTCTTTGTGATGTGTACATTCATCTCATAGAGTTGAACCTATCTTTTGATAGAGCAGTTATGAAACCGTCTTTTTGTAGAATCTGCAAGTGGATGTTTGGAACCCTTTGTGGCCTATGGTGGAAAAGGAAATATCTTCACATAAAAACTACACAGAAGCATTCTGAGAATCTTCTGTGTGGTGTGTGCATTCAACTCACAGAGTTGAACCTGTCATTTGATTGAACAGTTTTGAATCTCTCTTTTTGTAGAATTTGCAAGTGGATATTTGCAGCACTTTGTGGCCTATTTTTGAAAAGGAAATATCTTCACATAAAAACTACACAGAAGCATTCTGAGAATCTTCCTTGCGATGTGTACATGCATCTCATAAAGTTGAAACTTTCATTTGATTGAGCAGTTTTGAAACACCCTTTTTGTAGAATTTGCAAGTGGATATTTGGATCACATCAAGGTCTATTGTGGAAAACGAAATATCTTCACATAAAAAATACACAGAAGCATTCTGAGAAACTTCTTTGTGATGTGTGCATTCATCTCACGGAGTTTAAACTTTCTTTTGATTGAGCAGTTTTGAAATACTCTTTTTATAGAATCTGAAAGTGGATATTTGAAGCGCTTTGATGCCTATAGTGGAAAAGGAATTACCTTCACATAGAAACTACACAGAAGGATTCTGAGAAACCTCATTGTGATGTGTGCTTTCATCTCAGAGAGTTGAACATGTCTTTTGATTGAGTCGTTTTGAAACAGACTTTTTGTAGAACCTGTAGGTGGATATTTGTAGCTCCTTGAGGCCTATTTTGGAAAAGGAAATATCTTCACATATAAAGTACACAGAAGAATTCTGAGAAACTTATTTGTGATGAGTGCATTCTTGTCATGGAGTTCAACCTTTCTGTGGATTGACCAGTTTGGAAACACTCTTTTTGTAGAATCTGCATGTGGATATTTGGAGCGCTTTGAGGCCTGTGGTGGAAAAGGAATTATCTTCACATAAAAACCACACAGAGGAATTCTGAGAAACTTCTTTGTGATCTGTGCATTCTTGTCACAGAGTTGAACCTTTCTTTGGATTGACCAGTTTGGAAACACTCTTTTTGTAGAATCTGCAAGTGGATATTTGGAGCGCTTTGAGGCGTATGGTGGAAAAGGAAATATGTTCACATAAAAACTACCCAGAAGCATTCTGACAATCTACTTTGTGATGTGTGCATTCAACTCACATAGTTGAACCTACCTTTTGACAGAGCAGCTTTGAAACTCTCTTTTTGTAGAATCTGCAGGTGGATATTTGGAGTCCTTTGAAGCCTGGGGTGGAAAAAGGAATATCTACACAGAAAAACTACACAGAAGCATTCTGAGAAACTTTTTAGTGATGTTTGCATTCATCTCACAGAGTTCAACCTCTCTTTTGATTGAGCAGTTTGGAAACACTCTTTGTAGAATCTGCAAGTGGATATTTGGAGTGCTTTAAGGCCTATTGTTGAAAAGGAAATATCTTCACATAAAAACTACACAGAAACATTCTGAGAAACTTCTTTGTGATCTGTGCATTCCTGTCACAGAGTTGAACCTTTCTTTGGATTGACCTGTTTGGAAACCCTCTTCTTGTAGAATCTGCAAGTGGATATATGGAGCTCTTTGGGGCCTATGGTGGAAAAGGAAATATCTTCACATAAAAACTACCCAGAAGCATTCTGAGAATCTACTTTGTGATGTGTGCATTCAACTCACAGAGTTGAAACTACCTTTTGATAGAGCAGCTTTCAAACTCTCTTTTTGTAGAATCTCCAAGTGGATATTTGGAGCCCTTTGAAGCCTATGGTGGAAAAAGGAATATCTTCACAGAAAAACTACACAGAAGCATTCTGAGAAACTTCTTAGTGATGTGTGCATTCATCTCACAGAGTTCAACCTCTCTTTTGATTGAGCAGTTTTGAAATACTGGTTTTGTAGAATCTGCAAGTGGATATTTGGAGCACTTTTAGGCCTATTGTTGTAAAGGAAATATCTTCACATAAAAACTACACAGAAGCATTCTGAGAAACTTCTTTGTGATGTGTGCATTCAACTCACAGAGTTGAACCTATATTTTGATAGAGCACTTTTGAAACTCTCTTTTTGTAGCATCTGCAAGTGGATATTTGGAGCCGTTCTCGGCCTAAGTTGGAAAAGGTATTAACTTCACATAAAAACTATACAGAAGCATGGTACTGCTACCAAAACAGAGATATAGATCAATGGAACATAACAAAGCCCTCAGAAATAATGCCGCATGTCTACAACTATCTGATTTTCGACAAACCTGAGAGAAACAAGCAATGGGGACAGTATTTTCTATTTAATAAATGGTACTGGGAAAAATGGTTAGCCATATGTAGAAAGCTGAAACTGGATCCCTTTCTTACAGCTTATACAAAAATTAATTCAAGATAGATTAAATACTTAAACGTTAGACCTAAAACTATGAAAACTCTGGAAGAAAACCTAGGCTTTACCATTCAGGACATAACCATAGGAAAAGACTTCATGTCTAAAGCACCAAAAGCAAAGGAAACAAAGCCAAAATTGACATATGGGATCTAATTAAACTAGATATTCTGCACAGCAAAAGAAACTACCTTCAGGGTGAACAGGCAGCCTACAAAATGGGAGAAAATTTTCACAACTACTCATCTGACAGAGGGCTAATATCCAGAATCTACAATAAACTCAAACAAATTTACAGGAAAAAAACAAACAACCCCATCAAAAAGTGGGTGAAGGACATGAACAGATACTTCTCAAAAGAAGACATTTATACAGCCAAAAAACACATGAAAAAATGCTCACCATCACTGGCCATCAGAGAAATGCAAATCAAAAACACAATGAGATACCATCTCACACCAGTTAGAATGGCGATCATTAAAAAGTCAGGAAACAACAGGTGCTGGAGAGCATGTGGAGAAATAGGAACACATTTACACTGTTGGTGGGACTGTAAACTAGTTCAACCATTGTGGAAGTCCGTGTGGCGATTCCTCAGGGATCTAAAACTAGAAATACCATTTGATCCGGCCATCCCATTACTGGGTATATACCCAAAGGACTATAAATCATGCTGCTATAAAGACACATGCACATGTATGTTTATTGTGGCACTGTTCACAATAGCAAAGACTTGGAACCAACTCAAATGTCCAAAAATAATAGACTGGATTAAGAAAATGCGGCACATATACACCATGGAATAATAAGCAGCCATAAAAAAAGATGAGTTCATGTCCTTTTTAGGGACATGGATGAAACTGGAAATCATCATTCTCAGTAAACTATCACAAGAACAAAAAACCAAACACTGCATATTCTCACTCATAGGTGGGAATTGAACAATGAGAACACATGGACACAGGAAGGAGAACATCACACTCTAGGAACAGTTGTGGGGTGGGGGGAGGGGGTAGAGATAGCTTTAGGAGATATACATAATGCTAAATGACGAGTCAATGGGTGCTGCACACCAGCATGCCACATGCATACATATGTAACTAACCTGCACATTGTGCACATGTACCCTAAAACTTAAGGTATAATAATAATAATAATAATAATAATAATAAATACATAGAAGCATTCTGAGAAACTTCTTTGTGATGTGTGCATTCATCTCACAGATTTGAACTTTTCTTTTTATTGAGCAGTTTGGAAACACTCTTTCTGTAGAATCTGCAAGTGTATATTTGGAGTGCTTTGATCCCTATAGTGGAAAAAGAAATATCTTCACATAAAAACTACACAGAAGCATTCTGAGAAACTTCTTTGTGATGTGCACATTCAACTCCGATAGTTGAACCTATCGTTTGATTTAGCAGTTTTGAATCTCTCTTTTTTTAGTATCTCCAAGTGGTTATTTGAAGCCTTTTGTGGCCCATTTCAGAAAAGGAAATATCTTCAAATAAAAACTACACAGAAGTACTCTTAGAAACTTCTTTGCGATATGTGCATTGAACTCACAGAACTGAAACTATCTTTTGATAGAGCGGTTTTGAAACTTTCTTTGTGTAGAATCTGCAAGTGTATATTTGGAGCCCTTTGAGGCCTACTGTGGAAAAGGAAATATCTTCACATAAACAATATACAGAAGCATTCTGAGAAACTTCTTTGAGATGTGTGCATTAATCTTGCAGAATTGAACCTATCTTTGGATTGAGCACTTTTTAATCTATCTTTTTGTAGAATCTACAAGTATATATTTGCAGCACTTTGAGGCCTATGGTGGAAAAGGGAATATCTTCACATAAAAACTACACAGAAGCACTCTGAGAAACTTCTTTGAGATGTGGGCATTCATCTCACAGAGTTGAATATTTCTTTTGATTGAACAGTTTTGAATCTCTCTTTTTGTAGAATGTGCATTTGGATATTTGGAGCCCTTTGCAGCCTATTTTGGAAAAAGAAATATCCTCAGAGTAAAACTACACAGAAGCACTCTGAGAAACATCTTTGTGATGTGTACACTCATGTTACAGAGTTGAAACTTTCTTTCGATTGAGCGCTTTTGAAACTTTTTTTATAGAATCTGCAAGTGGATGTTTGAAGCGCTTTGAGACCTGTGGTGGAAAAGGAAATATCTTCATATAAAAACTACACAGAAGCATTCTGAGAAACTTCCTTGTGATGTGTGCATTCATCTCACAGTGTTCAATCTTTCTTTTGATTGAGCAGTTTTGAAACACTCTTTTTGTAGAATCTGTAAGCGGATATTTAGAGCTCTTTGAGATCTATGTTGGAAAAGGGAATATCTTCACATAAAAACTACACAGAAGCATTCTGAGAAACTTCTTTGTGATGTGTCAATTTGACTCGTAGAGTTGAATCTATCTTTTGATTGCACGGTTTTGAATCTCTCTTTTTGTAGAATCTGCAAGTGGATATTTGGATCCGTTTATGGCCTATTTTTGAAAAGGAAATATCTTCAAATAAAAACTACACGGAAGCATTCTGAGAAACTTCTTTGTGACGTGTGCATTCATCTCACAGAATTGAAACTTTCTTTTGATTGAGCAGTTCTGAAACACTCTTTTTGAAGAATCTGCAAGTAGATATTTGAAGTGCTTTGAGGCCTATTGTGGAAAAGGAAATATCTTCGCATAAAAACTACACAGAAGCATTCTGAGAAACTTCTTTTTGATGTGTGCATTCATCTCACAGAGTTGAACTTTTATTTTGATTGAGCTGTTTTGAAACACTCTTGTAGCATCTGCAAGTGGATATTTTGAACAATTTGAGGCCAATGGTGGAAAAGGAAATATCTCCACATAAAAACTACAAAGAAGCATTCTGAGAAACTTCTTTGTGATGTGTGCATTCAACTCACAGAGTTGAATCTTTCTTTTGATAGAGCAGTTTTGAAACTCTCTTTTTGTAGTATCTGCAAGTGGATATTTGGAGCCCGTTGTAGTCTATGGTGGAAAAGGAAATATCTTCACATAAAAACTACACAGAAGCATTCTGAGAAACTACTTTCTGATGTGTGAATTCATCTCACAGAGGTGAAACTTTCTTTTGATTGACCAGTTATGAAACACTCTTTTTATAGAATCTGAAAGTGGATATTTGAAGCCCTGTGAGGCCTATAGTGGAAAGGGAAATATGTTCTCAGAAAACTATACAGAAGCATTCTGAGAAACTGCTTTTTGATGTGTGCATTCATCTCAGAGTGTTGAACCTTCGTTTTGATTGAGCAGTTTTGAAACCCTCTTTTTGTAGAATCTGCAAGTGGATATTTGAAGCGCTATGAGGACGTATTTCAAAATAATAAGAGCTATCTATAACAAACCCACAGCCAATATCATATTGAATGGGTAAAAACTGAAAGCATTCCCTTTGAAAACTGGCATAAGACAGGGATGCCCTCTCTCACCACTCCTATTCAACATAGTGTTGGAAGTTCTGGCCAGGGCAATTAGACAGGAGAAGGAAATAAAGGGTATTCAATTAGGAAAATAGGAGGTCAAATTGTCCCTGTTTGCAGACGACATGATTGTATATCTAGAAAACCCCATTGTCTCAGCCCAAAATCTTTTTAAGCTGATAACCAACTTCAGCAAAGTCTCAGGATACAAAATCAATGTACAAAAATCACAAGCATTCTTATACACCAATAACAGACAAACAGAGAGCCAAATCATGAGTGATCTCCCATTCACAATTGCTTCAAAGGGAATAAAATACCTAGGAATCCAACTTACAAGGGATGTGAAGGACCTCTTCAAGGAGAACTACAAACCACTGCTCAAGGAAATAAAAGAGGATACAAACAACTGGAAGAATATTCCATGCTCATGGGTAGGAAGAATCAATATCTTGAAAATGGCCATACTGCCCAAGGTAATTTACAGATTCAATGCCATCCCCATCAAGCTATCAATCACTTTCTTCATAGAATTGGAAAAAACTACTTTAAAGTTTGTGTGGAATCAAAAAAGAGCCTGCATCATCAAGTCAATCCTAAGCCAAAAGAACAAAGCAGGAGGCATCACACTACCTGACTTCAAACTATACTGCAAGGCTACAGTAACCAAAACAGCATGGTACTGGTACCAAAACAGAGATATAGATCAATGGAACAGAACAGAGCCCTGAGGAATAATGCCACATATCTACAACTCTCTGATCTTTGACAAACCTGAGAAAAACAAGCAATGGGGAAAGGATTCCCTATTTAATAAATGCTGCTGGGAAAACTGGCTAGCCATATGTAGAAAGCTGAAACTGGATCCCTTCCTTACACCTTATTCAAAAATCAATTCAAGATGGATTAAACACTTACACGTTAGACCTAATACTATAAAAACCCTAGAAGAAAACCTAGGCATTACCATTCACGACATAGGCATGGGCAAGGACTTCTTGTCTAAAACACCAAAAGCAGTGGCAACAAAACCCAAAATTGACAAATGGGATCTAATTAAACTAAAGAGCTTCTACACAGCAAAAGAAACTGCCATCAGAATGAACAGGCAACTTACAAAATGAGGGAAAATTTTCACAACCTACTCATCTGACAAAAGACTAGTATCCAGAATCTACAATGAACTCAAACAAATGTACATGAAAAAAACAAACAACCCCATCAAAAAGTGGGTAAAGGACATGAACAGACACTTCTCAAAAGAAGACGTTTATGTAGCCAAAAAACACATGAAAAAATGCTCACCATCACTGGCCATCAGAGAAATGCAAATCAAAACCACAATGAGATACCATCTCACACCAGTTAGAATGGCAATCATTAAAAAGTCAGGAAACAACAGGTGCTGGAGAGGATGTGGAGAAATAGGAATACTTTTACACTGTTGGTGGGACTGTAAACTGGTTCAACCATTGTGGAAGTCCGTGTGGCGATTCCTCAGGGATCTAGAACTAGAAATATCATTTGACCCAGCCATCCCATTACTGGGTATACACCCAAAGGACTATATATCATGCTGCTATAAAGACACATGCACACGTATGTTTATTGCGGCAGTATTCACAATAGCAAAGACTTGGAACCAACCCAGATGTCCAACAATGATAGACTGGATTAAGAAAATGTGGCACATATACACCATGGAATACTATGCAGCCATAAAAAATGATGAGTTCATGTCCTTTGTAGGGACATGGATGAAATTGGAAATTGTCTTTCTCAGTAAACTATCACAAGAACAAAAAACCAAACACCGCATATTCTCACTCATAGGTGGGAATTGAACAATGAGAACACATGGACACAGGAAGGGGAACATCACACTCTGGGGCCCGTTGTGGGGTGAGGGGAGAGGGATAACATTGGGAGATATACCTAATGCTAGATGACGAGTTAGTGGGTGCAGCAGACCAGCATGGCACATGTATCCATATGTAACTAACCTGCACTTTGTGCGCATGTACCCTAAAACTTAAAGTATAATAATAAAAAATAAATAAATAAATAAATGCTAAAATCTCTTCAAAAAAAAAAAACTGGACAGAAGCATTCTGAGAAACTTCTTTGTGATGTGTGTGTTCATCTCACCGAGTTCAAACTTTCTTTTGATTGACCAGTTTTGAAATACTCTTTTTGTAGAATCTGCAAGTGGATATTTGGGGCGATTTGAGGCCTATGTTGGAAAAGGAAATATCTTCATATGAAAACTAGACAGAAGCATTCTGAGAAACTTCTTAGTTATGTGTGTATTCATCTCAGAGAATTGAACCACACTTTTGATTGAGCAGTTTGGAAACAGTCTTTTTGTCGTATCTGCATGTGGATATTTGGAGCACTTTGATGCCTATGGTGGAAAAGGAAATACCTTAACATAAAAATTAGACAGAAGCATTCTGAGAAACTTCTTTGTGATGTTTGCATTCATCTCACAGAGTTCAACCTTTCCTTTGATTGAACAGTTTTGAAACACTCTTTTTGTAAAATCTGCTAGTGGATATTTGGAACGCTGTGAGGCCTATGGTGGAAAAAAACGTATCTTCACATAAGAACTGTGAAGCAGGTTTCCTAAAAACAGCCTTGTGATGTGTGCATTCATCTCGCAGAGGTAAGCATTTATTTTCTCTGATCAGTCTGTAAACTCTGTTCTTGTACAATCTGAAAAAGAGTATTTTTGCTCACTTTGAGGCCTATGTTGACAAAGGAAATATCTTCACATACAAAGTATAAGGAAAGTTTCTGAGATACTTCTTTGTGATATGTGCATTCATCTCACAGATTTGAACCTCTCTTTTGCTTCAGCAGTTTGGAAACAGTATTTTTGCAGAATCTGCAAACGGATATTTGTGAGCACTTTGAGACCTATGCAGAAAAAGAAATAACTTCACAGAAAACTATAAAGAAGGTTTCTGAGAAACTGTTTTGTGATGTCTGCGTTCATTTCACAGAGGTAAACGATTTTTTCTTTGATCATATGGGAAACTCTGTTGTTTTAGAATCTGCTAAGGGATATTTGTGAGTGCATAGAGCCCTATGGTGAAAAAGGAATTGTCTTCACATAAAAACTAGACAGAAGCATCCTGAGAAACTTCTTGGTGATGTGTGCATTCATCTCATAGAATTGAAACTTTCTTTTGATTGAGCAGTTTGGAAACGTCTTTTTGTGGAATCTGTAAAGGGATATTTCTGAGCACTTTGAGGCCTATGGTGAAAGAGAAAATATCTTCACATAAAAACTAGACTAAAGAATTCTGACAAACTGCTTTGTGATGTATGCATTCATCTCACAGAGTTCAACAATTCTTTTGATTGAGCAGTTGGGAAACCATCTTTTTGTAGAATCTGCAAAGGTATATTTGTGAGTGCTTTGAGGTCTGTGGTTAAAAGGAAATATCTTCACATAAAAACTATAAAGAAGGTTTGTGAGAAACTTCTTTGTGATGTGCACATTCATCTCACAGGGTTGAACCATTCCTTTCATTCAGCAGTTTGGAAACAGTCTTTTTTTAGGATCTGCAAAGGGATATTTTTGAGCACTTTGAGGCCCATGGTGAAAAAGGAAACACACTCACATAAAAACAAGATAGAAATTTCTGAGAAAAATCTTTTTGATATATGCATTCATCCCACAGAGATGAAATTTTCTTTTGATGAGCAGTTTGAAAACAGTATTTTGTAGAATTTCCAAAGTGTTATTAGTTAGCGCTTTCTGTCCTGTGTTGAAAAAGGAATTATCTTTACATAAATACTAGACAGAATATTTCTGAGAAACTGCTTTGTGATGTGTGCTTTCATCCCACCAAGGTAACTATTTCCCTTCATTGAGCAGATTGGAAATTCTGTTCTTGTAAAATCTGCAAAAGGATATTTGTCAGTGCTTTGAGGCTTATGGTGAAAAAGGAATTATCTTCACGTAAAAACTAGACAGAAGCTTTCTGTGAAACATCTTGGAGATGCGAGAATTCATCTCACAGAGTTGAAACATTCTTTTGATTGAGCAGTTTGTAAACAGTATTTTGGTAGGTAGAATCTGCAAAGGGATATTTGTGATGCTTTGAAGCCTATGGTGGAAAAGGAAATATTTTCACATGAAAACTAGAGAGAAGCTTTCTGAGAAACCTCCTTGTGATGTGTGCATTCATCTCACAGATTTGAACCTCTCTTTGGATTGAGCAATTTGGATACAGTATTTTTGTAGAATCTGTAAAGGTGTATTTTTGAGAGCTATGAGACCTATGATGAAATAGGAAATATCTTCACAAAAAAACTAGACAGAAGCTTTCCGAGAAACTTCTTTGTGATGTGTGCATTCATCCCATAGAGTTCAACCATTCTTTTGATTGAACAGTTTGGAAACAGTCTTTTTGTAGAATCTGCAAAGGGATATTTATGAGTGCTTTAAGACCTGTGGTGAAAAAGGAAATATATTCACATAAAAAGTATAAACAAGGTTTCTCAGAAACAGCTTTGTGATGTATGCATTCGTCTCACAGAGGTAAATGTTTCTTTTCTGTGGTCAGTCTGGAAACTGCTCTTGAAGAGTCTGCAAAGGGATATTTGTGAGTGCTTTGAGGCCTATGGTGAAAAAGGAAATATCTTCACATAAAAATTAGAGAGAGGCTTTCTGAGAAACCTCTTTGTGATGTAGGCATTCATCTCACAAAGATGAAACTTACTTTTGATTGAGCAGTATGGAAATGGTCTGTTTGTGGAATCTGCAAAGGGATATTTATGAGCACTTTGAGGCCAATGGTGAAAAAGGAAATATATTTATATAAAATGTATAAAGAAGGTTTCTTAGAAACAGCTTTGTGATATGTGCATTGATCTCAAAGAAGTAAACGTTTATTTTCTCTGATCAGTCAGGAATCTCTGTTTTTGTAGAATCTGCAAAGGGATATTTGTGAGTGCTTTGAGGCCTATGGTGAAACAGGAAATATCTTCACTTAAAAACTAGACAGAAGCTTTCTTAGTGGCTTCTTTGTGATGTGTGCAATCATCTCACAGAGTTGAACCATTCTTTTGATTGAGCAGTCTGGAAACAGTCTTTTTGTAGAATCTGCAAGGAATATTTGTCAGGACTTTGAGTACTATGGTGAAAAAGGAAATATCTTCACATAAAAAATGGACAAAAGATTTCTGAGAAACCTCTTTGTAATGTGTGCATCCATCTCACAGAGTTTAAACATTTTTTTTGATTCAGCAGGTGGGAAGCAGTCTTTTTGCAGAATCTGCAAAGGGATATTGCTGAGCACTTTGAGGCCTATGGTGAAAAAGGAAATATCTTCACATAAAAACTATAAAGAAGGTTTCTGAGAAACTTCTTTGTGATGTATGCATTCATCTCATGGAGTTGAACTATTTTTTTAATTGAGCAGTTTGGAAACAATCTTTTTTGTAGAATCTGCAAAGGGATATTTTTGAGTGCTTTGAGTCCTAGGGAGAAAAAAGAAATATCGTCACATAAAAAGTATAAAGAAGGTTCTGAAAAACAGTTTTGTGATGTGTGCATTCATCTCACAGAGAAAAAGGTTTGTTTTCTTTGATCAGTCTGGAAATTCTGTTCTTGTAGAATCTGCTAAGGGATATTTGTGAGCAGATGGAGGCCTATGGTGAAAAAGGAAATGTCTTCATATAAAAATTAGACAGAAGCCTCCTGCGAAACTTCTCAGTGATGTGTGCATTCAACTCACAAAATTGAAACTTTCTTTTCATTGAGCCATTCGGAAACAGTCTTTTTGTAGAACCTGCAAATGGATATTTGGAGCATTTTGAGGCTTATGGTGAAAAAGGAAATATATTCACATAAAAACCAGACTGAAGGTTTCTGAGAAACTTCTTTGAGATGTGTGAATTCATCTCAAAAAGTTCAATAATTCTTTTTATTGAGCAGTTTGGAAACAGTGTTTTTGTAGAATCTGCAAAGAGATATTTGTGAGGGCTTTGAGGCCTATAGTGAAAAAGGAAATATCTTCACAGAAAAACTATAAAGAAGGTTTCTGAGAAACTTCTTTGTGATGTGTGCATTCATCTCACACAGTTCAACCTTTCTTTTGGTTGAGTGGTTTGGAAATAGTCTTTTTAAATATTCTTCAACTGGATATTTGTGAGCACTTTGAGGCTCGTGGTGAAAAAGGAAACATTCACATGAAAACTTAATAGAAGCTTTCTGAGAAACTTATTTTTGACACGTGCATTCATCTCACAGAGGTAAACCTTTCTTTTGATGAGCAGTGTGGAAACAATCTTTTTGTAGAATCTGCAAAGCGACAATTTTGAGCGCTTTGCATCCTGTGGTGAAAAAGGAGATACCTTCACATAAAAACTAGACAGAATGTTTCTCAGAAACTGCTTTGTGATATGTGCATTCATCTCCAAGATGTGTCTGTTTCTTTTCATTGAGAAGATTGGAAACTCTTCTCTTGTAAAATCTGCAAAGGGATATTTGTGAGCCCTTTGAGGCGTATGGTGAAAAAGGAAATATCTTCACATAAAAACGACACAGAAGCTTTCTGAGAAACATCCTGGTGATGTGAGCATTCACCTCACAGAGATGAAACATTCTTTTGATTGAGCAATGTGTAAAGAGTCTTCTTGTAGAATCTGCAAAGGGATATTTGTGAACGCTTGGAGGCCTATGGTGAAAAATAAAATATCTTCATGTAAAAACTAGAGAGAAGCTTTCTGAGAAACCTCTTTGTGGTGTGAATACATCTCACAGAGTTGAACCTTTCTTTTGATTGAGCAATTTGGAAAAAGTATTTTTGTAGAATCTCTAAAGGGATATTTGTGAGCACTTTGAGGCCTATGGTGAAAAAGCAAGTATCTTCACATAAAAACTAGACAGAAGCATTCTGAGAAACTTCTTCATGATGTGTGCATTAATCACACAGAGTTAAACCTTTGTTTTGATTGAGCCATTTGGAAACAGTCTTTTTGTAGAATCTGCAAATGGATATTTGGAGCACTTTGAAGCCTATGGTGTAAAAGGAAATATATTCACATAAAAACCAGACTGAAGGATTCTGAGAAACTTCTTTGAGCTGTGTGCATTCATCTCACAGTGTTCAATAATTCTTTTTATTGAGCGGTTTGGAAACAGTCTTTTTGTAGAATCTGCAAAGGGGTATTTGTGAGGGCTTTGAGGCCTATGTTGAAAAAGAAAATATCTTCACAGAAAAACCATAAAGAACGTTTCTGAGAAACTTCTTTGTGGTGTGTGCATTCATCTCACAGAGTTGAAACATTCTTTGGATTGAGCAGTTTACAAACAGTCTTCTTGTAGAATCTGCAGAAGGATATTTGTAGCGCTTTCAGGCCTATGGTGAATAAGGAAATATCATCACATAAAAACTAGACCAAAGTTTTCTGAGAAATTTTTGTGATGTGTGCATTTATCTCATAGAGTTTAACATTTGTTTTGATTGAGCAGTTTGGAAAGTCTTTTTGTACAATCTGCAGAGGGATATTTAGGAGTGTGTTGAGGCCTATAGTGAAAAAGGAAATATCTTCACATAAAAACTAGAAAGAAGCATTCTGAGAAGCTGCTTTAAGATATGTGTATTCATCTCACAGAGGTAAACGTTTCTTTTCATTGAGCAGTTCATAAACTCTGTTATTCTAGAGTCTGAAAAGGGATATTTTTGAGTGCTTTGAGACCCACGTTGAAAAAGGAACTATCTTTACATAAAAACTAATGAGAAGCTTGCTGAGAAACTACTTTCTGATGTGTGCATTCATCTAACAGAGTTGAAACTTTCTTTTGATTGAGCAGTTTGGAAACAGTCTTTTTGTAGATTCTGCAAAGGTATATTTGGGAGTGCATTGAGGCCTATGTTCAAAAAGGAAATCTCTTCACATAAAAACGAGAAGGAAGTTTTCTTGGAAACTTCTTTGTGATGTGCACATTCGTCTCACAGGATTGAACCATTCCGTTTATTGAGCAGTTTGGAAACAGTCTTTTTGTAGAATCTGCAAAGGGATATCTGGGAGTGCGTTGAGGCATATGGTGAAAAAGGAAATATCTTCACATTAAAAGTAGAAAGAAGTTTTCTGAGTAACTCCTTTGTGACGTGTGCATTCATCACACACAAGTAAAAGTTTCTTCCCATTGAACTGTTAGTTTTTATGTGAAGATATTTCCGTTTTCACCATAGACCTCAAACCGCCTACATATATCCCTTTGCAGATTCTACGAAAAGACTGTTTCCAAACTGCTCAATCAAAGAAAGCTTCCACTATGCGAGATGAATGCACACATCACAGAGAAGTTTCTCAGAAATTTTCTGTCTAGTTTTTATTTGTTAATACACCCATTTTCACCATAGGCCTGAAACTGCTCATAAATAACCCTTTGCAGATTCTAAAAAAAGACTGTTTCCAAACTACTCAATCAAAAGAAAGGCTCACCTTTGTGAGGTGAATGCACACATCACAAAGAAGTTTCTCAGAAAGCTTCTGTCTAGTTTTTATTTGAAGATGTTTCCTTTTTCAATATAGGCCTCAAAGTGCTCACAAATGTCCCTTTACAGATTTTACAAAAAGACTCTTCCCAAACTGTTCAACTGAAACAAAGCTTCAACTCTTTGAGATGAATGCACACATCACAAAGAAGTTTCTCAGAAAGCTTCCATCCAGTTTTTATGTGAAGCTATTTCCTTTTTCACCATAAGTCTTAAAGCATTCAAATTATCACTTTGCATATTCTACAAAAAGACATTTTCCAACCTGCTCTAACTAAAGAAAGGTTCAACTCTGTGAGAAGAATGCACACACCAAAAATAAGTTTCTCACAATGCTTCTGTCTAGTTTTTATGTGAAGACATTTCCTTTTTTGCCATAGACCAAAAAGGGATCTCAAATATCCCTTTGTACATTCTACAAAGGACTGTTTCCAAACTGCTTAATCCAAAGACAGGTTCAACTCTTTGGGATGAATGCACACATCACAACGAAGTTTCTCAGAAACTTCTGTCTAGTTTTTGTGTGAAGATATTTCTTTTTTCACCATAGGCTTCAAAGGGCTCACAAATATCGCAAAGCAGATTCTACAAAAAGACTATCCAAACTGGTCAATGAAAAGAACACTTCAAATCTGTGAGATGAATGAGCACATCTCAAAGAATTTTCTCAGAAACCTTCTGTCTAGTTTTTATGTGAAGATATTTCCGTTTCCACGATAGACCTGAAACTGCCTAAATATATCTCTTTGCAGATTCTACAAAAAGACTGTTTCCAAGCTGCTCAATCAAAGAAAGTTTTTACTCTGTGTGATGAATGCACACATCACAGAGAAGTTTCTCAGAAAGTTTCTGTTTAGTTTTTATTTGTCGATACTCCCTTTTTCACCATAGGCCTCAAACTTCTCATAAATAACCCTTTGCAGATTCTACTAAAGGACTGTTTCCAAACTGCTCAATCAAATGAAAGTTCGGCTGTGTGAGATGAATGCACACATCACAAAGAAGTTTCTCAGAACGTTTCTGTCTAGCTTTTATGTGAAGATACTTCTTTTTCACCATAATCCTCAAAGCGTTCACAAATTTTCCTTTGCAGATTCTACAAAAAGACTGTTTCCAAACTGCTCAATCAAAAGAAAGGTTCAATTCTGTGTGATGAATGCACACGTCACAAAGAAGTTTCTCAGAAGGGTTCTATCTAGATTTTATTTGTGGAGATTTCCTTTTTCACAATAGGCCTCAAAAAGCTCACAAATATCCCTTTGCATATTCTACAAAAAGACTGTTTCTAAACTGCTCAATGAAAGAAAATTCAACTCTGTGAGATGAATGCATGCATCACAAAGTGATTTCTCAGAATGCTTCTGTCTAGTGTTTATATGAAGATATTTCCTTTTTCACCACATGCCTCACACTGCTCAAAAACATCCCTTTGCAGATTCTCCAAAAAGACTGTTTCCAAACTGCTCAATCAAAAGAAAGATTCAACTGTTTGAGATGCATGCACCCATTACAAAGAAGTTTCCCAGAAAACATGAGTCTAGTTTTTATGTGAAGATATTTCCTTTTTCACCATAAGACTCAAACAATTCACAAATATCACTTTGCAGGTTCTACGAAAAGACTGTTTCCAAACTGCTCAATCAAAAGAAAGTTTCAACCCTGTGAGATGAATGCACACATCACAAAGAAGTTTTTCAGAAAGATGCTGTCTACATTTTATTTTTTGATATTTCCTTTTTCACCAAAGGACTCAAATCGCTGAAACACATCTGTTTGCAGATTCTACAAAAAGACTGTTTCCAAACTGCCCAATCAAAAGAAAGGTTCAACTCTGTGAGATGAATGCACACATCACAAAGCAGTTTCATAGATACCTCTTATTATTTTGAGATACGTCCTATCAATACCTAACTTATTGACAGTTTTTAGCATGAAGTGTTGTTGAATTTTGTCAAAGGCCTTTTCTGCACCTATTGAGATAATCATGTGGTTTTTGTGTTTGGTTCTGTGTATATGCTGGATTACATTTATTGATTTGTGTATATTGAACCAGCCTTGCATCCCAGGGATGAAGCCCACTTGATCATTGTGGATAAGCTTTTTGATGTGCTGCTGGATTCAGTTTGCCAGTATTTTATTGAGGATTTTTGCATCAATGATCTTCAAGGATATTGGTCTAAAATTCTCTTTTTTGGTTGTCTCTCTGCCCGGCTTTCGTATCAGGATGATGCTGGCCTCATAAAATGAATTAGGGAGGATTCCCTCTTTTTCTATTGATTGGAATAGTTTCAGAAGGAATGGTACCAGTTCCTCCTTGTACCTCTGGTAGAATTCGGCTGTGAATGCATCTGATCCTGGACTCTTTTTGCTTGGTAAGCTATTGATTATTGCCACAATTTCAGAGCCTGTTATTGGTCTATTCATAGATTCAACTTCTTTCTGGTTTAGTCTTGGGAGGGTGTAGGTGTCGAGGAATTTATCCATTTATTCTAGATTTTCTAGTTTATTTTCCTAGAGGTGTTTGTAGTATTCTCTCATGGTAGTTTGAATTTCTGTGGGATCAGTGGTAATATCCCCTTTATCATTTTTTATTGAGTCTATTTGATTCTTCTCTCTTTTCTTGTTTATATGTCTTGCTAGCGGTCTGTCAATTTTGTTGTTCCTTTCAAAAAACCAGCTCCTGGATTCATTAATTTTTTGAAGGGTTTTTTGTGTCTCTATTTCCTTCAGTTCTGCTCTGATTTTAGCTATTTCTTGCCTTCTGCTAGCTTTTGAATGTGTTTGCTCTTGCTTTTCTAGTTCTTTTAATTATGATGTTAGGGTGTCAATTTTGGATCTTTCCTGCTTTCCCTTGTGGGCATTTATGCTATAAATTTCCCTCTACAAACTGCTTTGAATGTGTCCCAGAGATTCTGGTTTGTTGTGTCTTTGTTCTCTTTGGTTTTATGCAGCTATAAAGACACATGCACACGTATGTTTATTGTGGCACTATTCACAATAGCAAAGACTTGGAAGCAACCAAATGTCCAACAATTATAGTCTGGATTAAGAAAATGTGGCACATATACACTATGGAATACTATGCAGCCATAAAAAATGATGAGTTCATGTCCTTTGTAGGGACATGGATGAAATTGGAAATCATCATTCTCAGTAAACTATTGTGGGGACAAAAAACCAAACACCACATGTTCTCACTCATAGGTGGGAATTGAACAATGAGAACACATGGACACAGGAAGGGGAACATCACACTGCGGGGACTGTTGTGGGGTGAGGGGAGGGGGAAGGGATAGCATTATGTGACATACCTAATTCTAAGTGACGAGTTAAAGGGTGCAGCACACCAGCATGGCACATGTATACATATGTAACTAACCTGCACATTGTGCACATGTACCCTTAAACTTAAAGTATAATAATAATAAAATAAAATAAAATAAAAAGAAAGCACACATCATAAAGAAGTTTCTCAGAAAGTTTCTTTCTTGTTTTCATGTGAAGATATTTCCTTTTTCACCATAGTCCACAAAGTGCATGAAATATCTTTTGCAGATTGTACAAAAAGACTTTTTCCAAACTGCTCAATCAAAAGAAAGGTTCAACTCTGTGAGATGAAAGCACAAATCACAAAGAAGTTACTCAGAATGCTTCCATCTAGTTTTTAAGTGAAGGAATTTCCTGTTACACCATGGGCCTCAAAGGGCTCACAAATATCCTTTTGCAGATTCTACAAAAAGACTGTTACAGAACTGCTCAATGAAAAGTAAGTTTCAACTCTGTGAGATGAATGCACACCTAAAAAAGAAGTTTCTCAGAATGCTTCTGTCTAGTTTTTATATGCAGATATTTCTTTTTCATCATAGGCCTCAAACCCCTCAGAAATATCCCTTTGCAGATTGTAGATAAAGACTGTTTCTTAACTGCTCCATCAAAAGAATGGTTCAACTCTGTGAGATGAAAGCACACATCACAAAGAAGTTTCTCAGAAATCTTCTGTCTAGTTTTTATGTGAAGATATTTCCCTTCTAATGATAGGCCTCAAAGCAATCCAAATCTCTATTTGCAGATTCTACAAAAGACTATTTCCAAACTGCTCAATCAAAAGAAATTTTCAACTCTGTGAGATGAAAGCACACATCACAAAGAAGTTCTTCAGAAAGTTTCTCACTAGATTTTATGTGAAGTTATTTAATTTTTCACCACAAGCCACAAAGCACTCCAAATATCCATTTGCAGATACTTCAAAAAGAGTTTCTCCAAACTGCTCAATCAAAAGAAAGTTTCAACTCTGTGAGATGAATGCAAACATCACAAAGAAGTTTCTCAGAATGCTTCTGTCTAGTTTTACTGTGAAGATATTTCCCATTTCACCATGGGCCTCAGTGGGCTCACATATGCTTTTGCAAATTCTACAAAAAGACTGCTTCCGAATTTCTCAATGAAAAGAATGGTTTTCCAACTTCGTTCTATTCTCCCCGTGACTTTCAGGTACACCAATCAGACGTAGATTTGGACGTTTCACATAGTCCCATATTTCTTGGAGGTCTTGCTCGTTTCTTTTTATTCTTTTTTCTCTAAACTTCCCTTCTCGCTTCATTTCATTCATTTCATCTTCCATCACTGATACCCTTTCTTCCAGTTGATTGAATCAGTTCCTGAGGCTTCTGCATTCTTCACGTAGTTCTCAATCCTTGGTTTTCAGCTCCATCAGCTCCTT
Organism: Homo sapiens; assembly: GCF_000001405.40. NCBI lineage: Eukaryota > Metazoa > Chordata > Mammalia > Primates > Hominidae > Homo > Homo sapiens. The sequence continues at coordinate 29,232,726 of NC_000020.11, forward strand.
TAAGCACTTCTCTGTATTGGTTATTCTAGTTATACATTCTTCCAAATTTTTTTCAATGTTTTCAACTTCTTTGCCTTTGGTTTGGATGTCCTCCCGTAGCTCGGAGTAATTTTATCGTCTGAAGCCTTCTTCTCTCAGCTCGTCAAAGTCATTCTCTGTCCAGCTTTGTTCCATTGCTGGTGAGGAACTGTGTTCCTTTGGAGGAGGAGAGGCGCTCTGCTTTTTAGAGTTTCCAGTTTTTCTGCTCTGTTTTTTCCCCATCTTTGTGGTATTATCTACTTTTGGTCTTTGATGATGGTGATGTACAGATGGGTTTTTGGTATGGATGTCCTTTCTGTTTGTTAGTTTTCCTTCTAACAGACAGGACCCTCAGCTGCAGGTCTGTTGGAGTACCCGGCCATGTGAGGTGTCAGTTTGCCCCTGCTGGGGGGTGCCTCCCAGGTAAGCTGCTCCAGGGTCAGGGGTCAGGGACCCACTTGAGGAGGCAGTCTGCCAGTTCTCAGATCTCCAGCTGTGTGCTGGGAGAACCACTGCTCTCTTCAAAGCTGTCAGACAGGGACATTTAAGTCTGCAGAGGTTACTGCTGTCTTTTTGTTTGTCTGTGCCCTGCCCCCAGAGGTGGAGCCTACAGAGTCAGGCAGGCCTCCTTGACCTGTGGTGGGTTCCACAGAGTTCGAGCTTTTCGTCTGCTTTGTTTAACTAAGCAAGCCTGGGCAATGGCAGGCGGCCCTCCCCCAGCCTCACTGCCGCTTTACCGTTTGATCTCAGACTGCTGTGCTAGCAATCAGCAAGACTCCGTGGGCGTAGGATCCTCCAATCCAGGTGCAGGATATAATCTCATGGTGTGCCATTTTTTAAGACCATCAGAAAAGCGCAGTATGCGGGTGGGAGTGACCCGATTTTACAGGTGCCATCTGTCACCCCTTTCTTTGACTAGGAAAGGGAACTCCCTGACCCCTTGTGCTTCCTGAGTGAGGCAATGCCTCGCCCTGCTTCAGCTCGTGCATGGTGCACGCACCCACTGACCTGCACACAGTCTGGCACTCCCTAGTGAGATGAACCCGGTACCTCAGATGGAAATGCAGAAATCACCTGTCTTCCGCGTTGCTCAGGCTGGGAGCTGTAGACTGGAGCAGTTTCTATTCGGCCATCTTGGCTTCTCCTCCCCCACTCTGCAGGATATTATCCAGGAGAAATTCCCCAATCTAGCATGGCAGGCCAACATTCAGATTCAGGAAATACAGAGAATGCCACAAAGATACTCCTCGAGAAGAGCAACTCCAAGACACATAATTGTCAGATTCACCAAAGTTGAAATGAAGGAATAAATGTTAAGAGCAGCCAGGGAGAAAGATCAGGTTACCCTCAAAGGGAAGCCCATCAGACTAACAGCAGATCTCTCAGCAGAAACTCTACAAGCCAGAAGATAGTGGGGGCCAATATTCAACATTCTTAAAGAAAAGAATTTTCAACCCAGAATTTCATATCCAGCCAAACTAAGCTTCATAAGTGAAGGAGAAATAAAATAATTTACAGACAAGCAAATGCTGAGAGATTTTGTCACCACCAGGCCGGCCCTAAAAGAGCTCCTGAAGGAACTGCTAAACATGGAAAGGAACAACCGGTACCAGCCACTGCAAAATCATGCCAAAATGTAAAGACCATCAAGATTAGGAAGAAACTGCATCAACTAACGAGCAAAATAACCAGCTAATATCATAATGACAGGTTCAAATTCACACATAACAATATTAACTTTAAATGTAAATGGACTAAATGCTCCAATTAAAAGACACAGACTGGAAAATTGGATAAAGAGTCAAGACCCATCAGAGTGCTGTATTCAGGAAACCCATCTCATATGCAGAGACACACATAGGCTCAAAATAAAAGGATGGAGGAAGATCTACCAAGCAAATGGAAAACAAAAAAAAGGCAGGGGTTGCAATCCTAGTCGCTGATAAAACAGACTTTAAACTAACAAAGATCAAAAGAGACAAAGAAGGCCATTACATAATGGTAAAGGGATCAATTCAACAAGAAGAGCTAACTATCCTAAATATATATGCACCCAATACAGGGGCACCCAGATTCATAAAGCAAGTCGTGAGTGACCTACAAAGAGACTTAGACTCCCACACATTAATAATGGGAGACTTTAACACCCCACAGTCAACATTAGACAGATCAATGAGACAGAAAGTTAACAATGATACCCAGGAATTGAACTCAGCTCTGCACCAAGCAGACCTAATAGACATCTACAGAACTGTCCACCCCAAATCAACAGAATATACATTTTTTTCAGCACCACACCACACTTATTCCAAAATTGACCACATACTTGGAAGTAAAGCTCTCCTCAGCAAATGTAAAAGAACAGAAATTATAACAAACTATCTCTCAGACCACAGTGCAATCAAACTAGAACTCAGGATTAAGAATCTCACTCAAAACCGCTCAACAACATGGAAACTAAACAACGTGCTCCTGAATGACTACTGGGTACATAACGAAATGAAGGCAGAAATAAAGATGTTCTTTGAAACCAACGAGAACAAAGACACAACATACCAGAATCTCTGGGATGCATTCAAAGCAGTGTGTACAGGGAAATTTATAGCACTAAATGCCCACAAGAGAAATCAGGAAAGATCCAAAATGGACACCTTAATATCACAGTTAAAAGAACTAGAAAAGCAAGAGCAAACACATTCAAAAGCTAGCAGAAGGCAAGAAATAATTAAATCAGAGCAGAACTGAAGGAAATAGAGACACAAAAAACCCTTCAAAAAATTAATGAATCCAGGAGCTGGTTTTTTGAAAGGATCAAGAAAATTGATAGACCGCTAGCAGGACTAATAAAGAAAAAAAGAGAGAAGAATCAAATAGACGCAATATAAAATGATAAAGGGGATATCACCACCGATCCCACAGAAATACAAACTACCATCAGAGAATACTACAAACAACTGTATGCAAATAAACTAGAAAATCTAGAAGAAATGGATGAATTCCTCGACACCTACACCCTCCCAAGACTAAAACAGAAAGAAGTTGAATCTCTGAATAGACCAATGACATGAGCTGAAATTTGGCAATAATCAATAGCTTACCAACCAAAAAGAGTCCAGGACCAGATGGATTCACAGCCGAATACTACCAGAGGTACAAGGAGGAACTGGTACCATTCCTTCTGAAACTATTCCAATCAATAGAAAAAGAGGGAATCCTCCCTAATTCATTTTATGAGGCCAGCATCATCCTGATACCAAAGCCGGGCAGAGACACAACAACAAAAAAAGAATTTTAGACCAATATCCTTGATGAACATTGATGAAAAAATCCTCAATAAAATACTGGCAACCCGAATCCAGCAGCACATCAAACAGCTTATCCACCATGATCAAGTGGGCTTAATCCCTGGGATGCAAGGCTGGTTCAATATATGCAAATCAATAAATGTAATCCAGCATATAAACAGAACCAAAGACCAAAACCACATGATCATCTCAATAGATGCCGAAAAGGCCTTTGACAAAATTCAAAAACCCTTCATGCTAAAAACTCTCAATAAATTAGGTATTGATGGGATGTATTTCAAAATAATAAGAGCTATCTATGACAAACCCACAGCCAATATCATACTGAATGGGCAAAAACTGGAAGCATTCCCTTTGAAAACTGGCACAAGAGAGGGATGCACTATCTCACCACTCTTATTCAACATAGTGTTGGAAGTTCTGGCCAGGGCAATTAGGCAGGAGAAGGAAATAAAGGGTATTCAATTAGGAAAAGAGGAAGTCAAATTGTCCCTGTTTGCAGACGACATGATTGTATATCTAGAAAACCCCATTGTCTCAGCCCAAAATCTCCTTAAGCTGATAAGCAACTTCAGTAAAGTCTCAGGATACAAAATCAATGTACAAATTCACAAGCATTCTTATGGACCAACAACAGACAAACAGAGAGCCAAATCATGAGTGAACTGCCATTCACAATTGCTTCAAAGAGAATAAAATACCTAGGAATCCAACTTACAAGGTATGTGAAAGACCTCTTCAAGGAGAACTACAAACCACTGCTCAAGGAAATAAAAGAGGATACAAACAAATGGAAGAATATTCCATGCTCATGGGTAGGATGAATTAATATCTTGAAAATGGCCATACTGCCCAAGGTAATTTACAGATTCAATGCCATCCCCATCAAGCTACCAATCACTTTCTTCACAGAATTGGAAAAAAACTACTTTAAAGTTCGTGTGGAATAAAAAAAGAGCCCGCATTTCCAAATCAATCCTAAGCCAAAAGAACAAAGCTGGAGGCATCACACTACCTGTCTTCAAACTATACTACAAGGCTACAGTAACCAAAACAGCATGGTACTGGTAACAAAACAGAGATATAGACCAATGGAACAGAACAGAGCCCTCAGAAATAACGCCACATATCTACAACTATCTGAAATTTGACAAACCTGAGAAAAACAAGCAATGGGGAAAGGATTCCCTGTTTAATAAATGGTGCTGGGAAAACTGGCTAGCCATATGTAGAAAGCTGAAACTGCTTCCCTTCCTTACACCTTATTCAAAAATCAATTCAAGATGGCTTAAAGACTTAAACGTTAGACCTAAAACCATAAAAACCCTAGAAGAAAACCTAGGCTTTACCATTCAGGACATAAGCATGGGCAAGGACTTCATGTCTAAAACACCAAAAGCAATGGCAACAAAAGCCAAAATTGACATATGGGATCTAATTAACCTAAAGAGCTTCTGCACAGCAAACGAAACTACCATCAGAGTGATCAGGCAACCTACAAAATGGGAGAAAATTTTCGCAACCTACTCATCTGACAAAGGATTAATATCCAGAATCTATGATGAACTCAAACAAATTTACAAGAAAAAAACAAACAACCCCATCAAAAAGTGGACGAAAGACATGAACAAACACTTCTCAAAAGAAGACGTTTATGCAGCCAAAAAACACATGAAAAAATGCTCATCATCACTGGCCATCAGAGAAATGCAAATCAAAACCACAATGAGATACCATCTCACACCAGTTAGAATGGCAATCATTAAAAAGTCAGGAAACAACAGGTGCTGGAGAGGATGTGGAGAAATAGGAATACTTTTACACTGTTGGTGGGACTGTAAACTAGTTCAACCGTTGTGGAAGTCAGTGTGGCGATTCCTCAGGGATCTAGAACTAGAAACACCATTTGACCCAGCCATCCCATTACTGGGTATATACCCAAAGGACTATAAATCATGCTGCTATAAAGACACATGCACATGTATGTTTATTGTGGCACTATTCACAATAGCAAAGACTTGGAACCAACCCAGATGTCCAACAATGATAGACTGGATTAAGAAAATGTGGCACATATACACCATGGAATACTATGCAGCCATAAAAAATGATGAGTTCATGTCCTTTGTAGGGACATGGATGAAATTGGAAATCATCATTCTCAGTAAACTATCGCAAGAACAAAAAACCAAACACCGCATATTCTCACTCATAGGTGGGAATTGAACAATGAGAAGACATGGACACAGGAAGGGGAACGTCTCACTCTGGGCCCTGTTGTGGGGTGGGGGGAAGGGGAGGGATTGCATTGGGAGATATACCTAATGCTAGATGACGAGTTAGTGGGTGCAGCGCACCAGCATGGCACATGTATACATATGTAAGTAACCTGAACATTGTGCACTTGTACCCTAAAATGTAAAGTATAATAATAATAATAAAAAAGAAAAGAATGGTTCAATTCTGGGAGAAGAATGCATACATGAAAAAGAAGTTTCTCAGAATGCCTCTTTCTACTTTTTATGTTAAGATATTTGTTTTTCACCTTAGGCCTCAAAGTGCTCAGAAATATCCCTTTGCAGATTGTAGAAAAAGATGGTTTCCAAACTGCTCAATGAAAACAAGGGTTCAACACTGTGACATGAATATGCACATCACAAAGAAGTTTTTCAGAAAGCTTCCGTTTAGTTTTTAAGTGAAGATAATTCCTTTTTCACTATAGGTCTCAAAGTGCTCCAAATATCCTTTTGCAGAATCTACAAAAAAAGAGTTTCCAAACTGTTCAATTAAAAGATAGATTCAAATCTGTCAGAAGAAAGCACACATCACAAAGAAGTTTCTCATAATGCTTCTGTCTACTTTTTTTGTGAAGATATTTCCTATATCACCATAGGCCTCAAAGGTCTCACAAATATCCCTTTGCAGACTGTACAAAAACACAGTTTTCAAACTGCTCCATGAAAAGAAAGGTTCAGCTCTGTGAGATGAATGCACACATAATAAATTACTTTCTCATAATGCTTCAGTCTAGTTTTTATGTGAAGATATTTCTTTTTCACCATAGGCATCAAACCGTTCAGAAATATCCCTTTGTAGATTGTACAAAAAGACTGTTTCCAAACTGCTCAATCAAAAGAAAGGTTCAAACATGCGAGATGAGTGTACACATAACAAAGAAGTTTCTCAGAAATCTTCTGTCTTGTTTTTATGTGAAGATATTTCCTTTCTCAACATAGGCCTCAAAGCAATCCAAATATCCATTTGCAGATTCTACAAAAAGACTGTTTCCCAACTGATCAATCAAAACAAATTTTTAGCTTTCTGAGATGAAAGCACACATCACAAAAAAGTTACTCAGATTTCTTCTCTTTAGTTTGTGTGTGAAAATATTTCCTCTTTCATCTGACGCCATAAAGGGCTCACAAATATCCCTTTGAAGTTTCTATGAAAACACTGTTTCCAAACTGCTTAATCAAAGGAAAGGTTCAACTCTGTGAGATGAATGGACACATCACAAAGAAATTTCTCGGACTGACTCTGTCTAGTTTTTATGTGAAGATATTACTCTTTCACCATAGGCCTCAAATGGATCAGAATTATCCCTTTGCAGATTGTACAATAAGCCTCTTTCCAACCTGCTCAATCAAAAAAAAAGGTTCAACTCTGTGAGATGAATGCACACATCACAAGGAAGTTTCTCAGAAAGCTTCTGTTTAGTTTTTATGTGAAGATATTTCTTTTTCACCATGGGCCTCAAAGTGCTCCAAATATCCATCTGCAGATTCTAGAAAAAGAGTGTTTCCATACTCCTCAATCAAAAGAAAGTTTCAATTCTGTGAGATGAAAGCACACATCACAAACAAGTTTCTTAGAAAGCTTCTGTCTAGTTTTTATGTGAAGATATTTCACATTTCACCGTAGTACTCAATGGGCTCAGAAATATCCCTATGCAGATTCTACAAAAGGACTGTTTCCAAACTGCTCAATCCAAATAAAGTTTCAACTCTGTGAGATTAATGCACACATCATAAAGAAGTTTCTCAGAATGCTTCTGTCTAGTTTATATGTGAAGAAAATTCCTACTTCACCATAGGCAATAAAGGGCTCACAAATATTTTTTGCAGATTCTACAAAAAGACTGTATCCAAATTGCTCAATCAAAAGAAAGAAAGTTTCAACTCTGTTAGATTAATGGACACATAAAAAAGTAGTTTATCAGAAAACTTCTGTTTAGTTTTTATGTGAAGATATTTCCTTTGTCACCAATGACCTCAAAGCACTCCTAATATCCATTTACAGATTTCACAAAAAGAGTTTTTCCAAATTGCTGAATCAAAAGAAAGATTTAACTCTGTGAGATGAAAGCACACATCTCAAAGAAGTTTCTCAGAAAGCTTTGGTCTGGTTTTCATGTGAAGATATTTCCAGTTTCACCATAGGCCTCAAAGGGCTAAGAAATATCCCTTTGCAGGTTCTAAAAGAGGACCATTTCCATACTGCTCAATCAAAAGAAAGGTTAAATTCTGTGAGGTGAATGCACACATTAGAATGAAGTTTCTCAGAATTCTTCTGTCTAGTTTTTATGTGAAGATATTTACTATTTCACTATAGGCTTCAAATGTCTCACAAATATCCCTTTGCAGATTCTACAAAAATATGGTTGCCGAACTTCTGAATTAAAAGAAGCATTCAACTCTGTCAAATGAATGGAGACATCACAAAGAGGTTCCTCAGAATGCTTCTGTCTAGTTTAAATGTGAAGATATTTCTTTTTCACCATAGACCTCAAATGGCTCAGAAATATACCTTTGCAGATTGCAGAAAAATACTGTTTCTAAACTGCTCAAACAAAATAAAGTTTCAACACTGTGAGATGAATGCACACATCACAAAGAAGTTTCTCAGAAAGCTTCTGTGTAGTTTTTATGTGAAGGTATTTCCTTTTTCCCCATAGGCCTTAAACCGCTCACAAATATCCTTCTGCAGATACTAAAAAAATACTGTTTCCAAACTGCTCCATCAAAAGAAAAGTTCACCTCTCTGAGATGAATGCACACATCACAAAGAAGTTTCTCAGAATTCTTCTGTCTCGTTTTTATGTGAAGATATTTCCATTTTCACCTTAGGCCACAAAGTGCTCCAAATATCCATTTGCAGATTATTCAAAAAGACTGTTTCCAAACGGCTCAATCAAAAGAAATTTTCAACTCTGTGAGATGAAAGCACACATCACAAAGAACTCTCTCAGAAATCTTCTGTCTAGTTTTTATCTCAAGATAATTCCTATTTCACCATAGGAATCAATGGGCTCACAAATACCCCTTTGCAGATTCTACAAAAGTTCTGTTTCCAAACTGCTCAATCAAAAGAAACGTTCAACATTGTGAGATGAATGCACACATCACAAAGAAGTTTCTCAGAATGCTTCTGTCTAGTTATTATGTGAAGATATTTTCTTTTTCACCATAGTCTTTAAACCACTCAAAAATATCCTTCTGCAGATACTACAAAAAGACTGTTTCCAAACTGGTCCATCAAAGAATGTTTCAACTCTGTGAGATGAATGGACTCATCACAAAGAAGTTTCTCAGAATTCTTCTGTCTAGTTTTTATGTGAAGATATTTCCTTTTTCACCATAGGCCTCAAATCGCTCTGAATATCCATTTGCAGATCCTACAAAAAGAATATTTCCAAACTGGTCAATCAAAAGAAAGGATCAACTCTGTGAGACGAAAGCACACATCACAAAGAAGTTTCTCAGAAAGCTTCTGTCTACTTTTTATGTGAAGGTATTTCCTTTTGCACCATAGGCCTTAAACCGCTCACAAATATAACTCCACTTATACTACCAAGAGACTTTCTCCAAATTGCTAAATCAAAAAAAATGTTCAACTCTGTGAGATGAATGCACACATCACAAAGAAGTTTCTGAAAATGTTTTTGTCTAGTTTTCATGTGAAGATATTTATTTTTCACCATTGGCCTCAAACTGCTCAGAAATATCCCCTTGCAGTTTCTACAAAAAGACTGTTTCCAAACTGCTCAGTGAAAAGAAATGGTCAACTCTTAGATATGAATGGAAATGTCACAAAGAGTTTTCTCAAAAAGCTACTGTGTAGTTTTTATGTGAAGATATTTCCTTTTTCACTATAGGCCTTAAAACACTCCAAATATACATTTGCAGATTCTACAAAAAGACTGTTTCCAAACTGCTCAATCAAATGAAAGGTTCAACTCTGTGATACAAACGTGCACACCACAAAGGAGTTTCTCAGAAAGCTTCTGTCTAGTTTTTATGTGAAGATATTTCATATTTCAACATAGGCCATAAAGGGCTCACAAATATCCCTTTGCAGATTCTAAGAGAAGACATTTTCCAAACTCCTCAATCAAAAGAAAGGTTTAACTCTGTGAGATGAATGGACACATCACAAAGAAGTTTCTTAGAAAGCTTCTGTCTAGTTTTTATGTGAAGATATTTCTTTTTCACTATAGGCCTCAAACGGCTAAGAAATTTCCCTTTGCAGCTTCTACAAAAGACTGTTTCCAAACTGCTCAATCGAAAGAAAGGTTGAATTCTGTGACATGAATTCACACATCACAAAGAAGTTTTTCAGAAATCTTCTGTCTAGTTTTTATGTGAAGATACTTTCTTTTTCACCATGGGCCTGAAATAGCTCCAAATATCCATTTGCAGATTCTACAAAAAAGACTTTCCAAACTGCTCAATCAAAGAAAGGTTCAACACTGTGAGATGAAAGCACACATCACAAAGAAGTTTCTCAGAAATCTTCTGTCTAGTTTTTATGTGAAGATATTTCATATTTCACCACAGGCCATAAAGGGCTCACAAATATGCCTTGCAGATTCTACAAAACGACTGCTTCCAAACTGCTCAATCAAAAGAAAGGTTCAACTCTGTGAGATGAATGGACATATCACAAGGAAGTTTCTCAGAATGCTTCTGTCAAGTTTTTATGTGCAGATATTTCGTTTTCACCATAAGCCTCAAATGGCTCAGAAATATCCCTTTGCAGATTGTACAAAAAGACTGTTTCTAAGCTGCTCATTCAAAAGAAAGATTCAACTCTGTGAAATGAAAGTGTGCATCACAAAGAAGTTTCTCAAAATGCTTCTGTCTTGTTTTTATGTGCATATATTTCCTTTTTAACTGTAGGCCTCAAAGCTCTCCAAATATCCTTTTGTAGATTCTTCAAAAATACTGTTTCCAAAGTTATCAATCAAAAGAAAGGTTCAACTCTGTAGGATGGAAGCACACATCACAAAGAAGTTTCTCAGAAAGCTTCTGTCTAGTATTTATGTGAATATATTTCCTATTTCATCATAGAACTCAAAGGGATCACAAATATCCCTTTGCAGATTCTACAAAAAGACTGCTTCCAAACTGTTCAATGAAAAGAAAGGTTCAACTCGTGAGGTGAATGCACAGATAAAAAAGAAGTTTCTCAGAATGCTTCTGTCAAGTTTTTATGTGAAGTTATTTCTTTTTCACCATAGACCTCAAACCCCTCAGAAATATTCCTTTGCAGATTGCACAAAAAGAATGTCTCCAAACTCCTCAATGAAGAGAGAGGTTCAACTCTTTGAGATGAATGCAAATATCACAAAGAGTGATCTCAAAAAGTTTCTGTCTGATTTTTATGTGAAGATATTTAGTTTTTCACCATAGGCCTCAAACCGCTCACAAATATACCTTTGCAGATTCTACAAAATGACTTGTTCCCAAACTGCTCAATGAAAGAAAGGTTCAAATATGTCATATGAAAGCACACATCACAAAGAAGCTTCTCAGAAAGTTTCTGTCTAGTTTTTATGTGCAGATACTTCCTTTTTCACCTTATGCCTCAAAGCACTCCAAATATCTGTTTACAGATTCTACAAAAAGAGTGTTTCCAAACTGCTCAATCAAAGGAAAGGTTCTACTCTGTGAAATGAAAGCACACATCACAAAGAAGTTTCTCAGAATGCTTCTGTCTAGTTATTATGTGAAGATATTACCTATTTCACCATAAGGTCTCAAAGGGCTCAGAAATATCCCTTTGCAGATTCTACAAAAGGACTGTTTCCAAACTGCTCCATCAAAAAAAAGGTTCAACTCTGTGAGATGAAAGCACGCATCACAAAGAAGTTTCTCAGAAAGCTTCTGTCTAGTTTTTATGTGAAGATATTTCCTATTTCAATATAGGCCTCAAAGGGCTCAGAAATATCCCTTTGCAGATTCTATGAAAAGTCTGTTTCCGAACTACTCAATGAAATGAAAGGTTCAACTCTGTGGGTTGGATGCACACATCACAAAGAAGTTTCCCAGAATGCTTCTGTCTAATTTTTATGTGAACATATTTCTTTTTCACCGTAGGCCTAAAACTGCTCAGAAATATCCCTTTACAGATTGTGCAAAAAAACCGTTTCCAAACTGCTCAATGAAAAGGAAGATTTGACTCTGTGAGATGAATGCAAACATCACAAAGAGGTTTCTCAAAAAGCTTCTGTCTGGTTTTTATGTGAAGGTATTTCCTTTTTCACCATAGGCCTCAAACCACTAACAAATATCCCTTTGCAGATTCTACAAAAAGACTGTTTGCACACTGCTTAATGAAAAGAAAGGTTAAACTTTGTGTGATGAAAGCACACATCACAAAGAAGTTTCTCAGAATGCTTTTGTCTAGTTTTATGTGAGGAAGTTTCGTTTTTCACCATACACCTCAAAGCGCTCCAAATATGCATTTGCAGATTTCACAAAAAGACTGTTTCCAAATTGCTCAATCAAAAGAATGGTACAGCTCTGTGAGATAAATGCACACATCACAAAAAGTTTCTCAGAAAACTTCTGTTTAGTTTTTATGTGAAGATATTTCCTTTGTCACCAATGGCCTCAAAGCACTCCTAATATCCATTTACAGATTTCACAAAAAGAGTGATTCCAAACTGCTCAATCAAAAGAAAGTTTTAACTCTGTGAGATGAAAGCATACATCACAAAGGAGTTTCTTAGAAACTTTCTGTCTAGTTTTTATGTGAGGATATTTCATATTTCAAAATAGGTCTCAATGGGCTCAGAAGTATACCCTTACAGATGCCACAAAAAGAGTGTTTCCAAAAAGCTCAATCAAAAGAAAGGTTTAACTCTGTAAGATGAATGCATACATTACAAAGAAGTTTCTCAGAATGCTTCTGTCTAGTTTTTTTGAGAAGCCATTTCCTTTTTCATTATGGGCCTCAGTCCACTCACTAATAGCCCTCTGCAGATACTACAAAAAGACTCTTTCCAAACTGCTCAATCAAAATGAAGTTTCAAATCTGTGAGATGAAAGCCCACGTCACAAAGAAGTTTCTCAGAAAGTTTCTGTCTAGTTTTTATGTGAAGATATTCCCTATTTCACCTTAGGCCTCAAAGGGATCACAAATATCCCTTTTCGGGTTCTTCAAAAAACTGTTTCCAAACTGCTTCATCAAAAGAAAGGTTCAACTCTTTGAGATCAATGCACACATAAAAAATTAGTTTCTCAGAATGCTTCTGTCTACTTTTTATGTGAAGATATTACTTTTTCACCATAGGTCTCAAACCGTAAACAAATATTCCTTTGCAGATTGCACAAAAAGTATGCTTCCACACTGCTCAATAAACAGAAAGGTTCAACTCAGTGAGATGAATGCATACATCACAAAGAGTTTTCTGAAAATGCTTCTATCTGGGTTTTAGGTGAAGATATTTACTTTTTCACTATAGGCCTCAAACCACTCACAAATATCCCTTTGCAGATTCTACAAAATGAATTGTTGCCAAACTGCTCAATGAAAAGCAAGGTCCAAATCTGTGAGATGAAAGCATGCATCACAAAGAAGTTTCTCAGAAAGTTTCTGTCTAGTTTTTATATGCAGCTATTTCCTTTTTCAACCATAGGCCTCAAAGCACTCCAAATATCCATTTGCAAATTCTACAAAAAGAGTGTTTCCAAATTGCTCAATCAAAACAGAGGTTTAACTCTGTGAGGTGAATGCACACAGCACAAAGTAGTTTTTCAGAAAGCTTCTGTCTAGTTTTTATGTAAAGACATTTCCTATTTCACCATAGGCCCCAATGGGCTCACAAATATCCCTTTACAGATTCTATAAAAGGACTCTTTCCAAACTTCTCAATCCAAGGAAAGTTTCAACTCTCTGATGTGAATGCAGACTTCACAAAGAAGTTTCTCAGAATGCTTCTGTCTAGTTTTTATGTGAAGATATTTCCTGTTCACCATAGGCCTAAAATGCTGCAAATATCCATCTTCAGATTCTACAAAAAGACTGTTTCCAAACTGCTCAATCAAAAGAAAAGTTCAACTCTGTGAGATGAAAACACACGTCACAAAGAAGTTTCTCAGAAAGCTTCTGTTTAGTTTTTTTTGTGAAGATATTCCCTATTTCACCATAGGCCTGAAAGGGCTCACAAATATCCTTTTGCATATTCTACAAAAAGACTGCTTCCAAACTGCTCAATCAAAAGAGAGGTTCAACTCTGTGTGATGAATGCACACATTACAAAGAAGTTTCTCAGAATGCTTTTGTCTAGGTTTTATGTGAAGATATTTCTCTATCACAATAGACCTCAAATGGCTCAGAAATATCCCTTTGCAGATTGTACAAAAAGACTGTTTCCAAACTGCTCAATGAAAAGAAAGTTTCAACACTGTGAGATGAATGCACACATCACAAAGAAGTTTCTCAGAAAGCTTCTGTTTAGCTTTCATGTGAAGATATTTCCTTTTTCACCATAAGCCTCAATGGGCTCAGAAATATCCCTTTGCAGATTCTATGAAAGGACTGCTTATTAAACTGCTCAATCTAAAGAAAGTTTCAACTCTGTGGGATGAATGCACACATCATAAACAAGTTTCTCACAATGGATCTGTCGGCTTTTTATGTGAAGATATATTCTTTTTAACCACAGGCCTTAAACCGCTCATGAATATTCCTCTGCAGATACTACAAAAAGACTGTTTCCAAACTGCTGCATCCAAAGAAATGTTCATCTTCGTGAGATGAATACACACATCACAAAGAAGTTTCTCAGAATGCTTCTCTCTGGTTTTCATTTGAAGATATTTCCTTTTTCACCATAGGCCTCAAAGTGTTCCAAATATCCGTTTACAGCCTCTACAAAAAGAGTGTTTCCAAACCGCTCTTTCAAAAGATAGGTTCATCTCTGTGAGATGAAAGTACACATCACAAAGTAGTTTCTCAGAAAGCTTCTGTCTAGTTTTTATGTGAAGATATTTCCTTTTTTACCATAGGCCATAAAGGGCTCACAAATATTTTTTGCAAATACTACTAAAAGAATTTTTCCAAACTGCTCAATCCAAAGAAAGTTTCAACTCTGTGAGATGAATGGACACATCACAGAGAAGTTTATCAGAATGCATCTGTCCAGTTTTTATGTTCACATAAAATATTTATGTGATAAATATTTTATGTGTGATATTTATTTAGGCCTCGATGGGCTCAGAAATATCCCTTTGCAGATTCTAAAAAAGGACTGTTTCCAAACTGCTCAATCTAAAGAAAGGTTCACCTCTGTGAGTTGAATGCACACATCACAGAGAAGCTTCCCAGAATGCTTCTGTCTAGTTTTTATGTGAAGTTATTTCCTTTTTCAGCATAGGCCTCAAACCGCTCACAAATATTCCTCTGCAGATACAATAAAAGGACTGTTTCCAATCTACTATATCAAAAGATAGGCTCAACAACATGAGATGAATGCACACGTCACAAAGAAGTTTCTCAGAATGCTTCCATCTAGTTTTTATGTGAAGATATTTACTTTTTAACCATAGGCCTCAAAACACTCCAAACATCCATTTGCAGATTCCACAAAAAGACTGTTTCCAAACTGCTCAATCAAAAGAAAGGTTCAACTCTGTGAGATGAAAGCACACATCAAAAAGAAGTGTCTCGGAAAGCTTCTGTCTAGTTTTTATTTGAGGATATTTCCTATTTCACCACAGGCCTCAAAGGAATCACAAGTATCCCTTTGAAGATTCTACAAAAAGACTGTTTCCGAACTGCTCAATGAAAAGAAAGTCTCAACTCTGTGAGGTGAACGCACACATAAAAAAGAAGTTTCTCAGAATGCTTCCGTCTAGTTTTTATGTGAAGATATTACTTTTTCACCATAGGCCTCAAACCACTCAGAAATATCCCTTTGCACATTGTATAAAAAGACTGTTTATAGACTGCTCAAAGAAAAGAAAGATTCATCTCTGTGAGAGGAATGCACACACACAAAAGAAGTTTCTCAGAATGCTTCTGTATAGTTTTTATGTGAAGATATTTTATTTTTCACCATAGGCCTTTAACTGTTCACAAATATCCCCCTGCAGATACTACAAAAAGACTGTTTCCAAACTGCTCCAAGAAAAGAAAGGTTCAACTCTGCGAGATGAAGGCACACATCACAAGGAAATTTCTCAGAATGATTCTGTCTAGTTTTTATGTGAAGATAATTCTTTTTCCCCATAGGCATCAAATGGCTCAGAAATATCCCTTTGCAGGTTGTACAAAAAGATGGTTTCCAATCTGCTCAATCAAAAGAAAGGATCAGCTCTGTGATATGAATCCACACATCACAAAGAAGTTTCTCAGAAAGCTTCTTTTTAGCGTTTTTGTGAAGATATTTCCTTTTTCACCATAGGCCTAAAAGAGCTGCAAATATCCATTTGCAGATTCTACAAAAAGAATGTTTCCAAACTGCTCAATCAAAAGAAAAGTTCATCTCTGTGAGATGAAAGCACACATCACAAAGCATTTTCTCAGAAAGATTCTGTCTTATTTTTATGTGAAGATATTTCCTATTTCACCATAGGCTGTAAAGGGCTCACAAATATCCATTTGCATATTCAAAAAAAAAGACTCTTTCCAAACTGCTCAAACAAAAGAAAGGTTCAACCCTGTGAGATGAATGCACACATCAGAAACAAGTTTCTCAGAATGCTTCTGTCTAGTTTTGATGTGAAGATATTTCTTTTTCACCATCGGCCTCAAATGGCTCAGAAATATCCTTTTGCAGATTTTTACAAAAGACTGTTTCCAAACTGCTCAATCAAAAGAAAGATTCAACTCTATGAGATGAATGCACACATCACAAGAAGCTTCTCAGAAAGCTTCTGTTTGGTTTTTATTTGAAGATATTTCCTTTTTCACCATAGGCCTCAATGGGCTCAGAAATATCCCTTTGCAGATTCTACAAAAGGACTGTTTAGAAAACTGCTGAATCCAAAGAAAGATTCAACTCTGTGAGATGAATGCACACATCACAAAGAAGTTTCGCAGAATGCATCTGTCTAGTCTTTATGTGAAGTTATTTCTTTTTTGACCATAGGCCTCAAAGCACTCCAAATACCCATTTGCAGATTCTACAAAAAGAGTTTTTCCAAACTGCTCAATCAAAAGAAAGGTTCAACTCTGTGACACGGAAGCACATGCCACAAAGAAGTTTCTCAGAATGCTTCTGTCTAGTTTTTTTGTGAAGATATTTCCTATTTCACCTTCGGCCATATAAGGCTCAAAAATATTTTTTGCAGATTCTACAAAAAGACTTTTTGCAAACTGCTCAATCCAAAGAAAGTTTTAACTCTGTGAGATGAATGGACACATCACAAAATAGTTTATCAGAATGCTTCTGTCTAGTTTTTATGTGAAGACATTTCTTTTTCACCCTAGGCTTCAATGGGCTCAGAAATATCCCTTTGCAGATTCTACAAAAGGACTGTTTCCAAACTGCTCAATCAAACAAAGGTGCAACACTATGAGATGAATGCACACATGGCAGAGATGTTTCTCACAATGCTTCTGTCTATTTTTTATGTGAAGGTATTTCCTGTTTCACCATGGGCATCAAAGCACTCCAAACATCCATTTGCTGATTCCACAAAAAGACTGTTTCCAAGCTGCTCAATCAAAAGAAAGGTACAACTCCGTGAGTTGAAAGCACACATCACAAAGAAGTTTCTCAGAAAGCTTCTGTCCAGTTTTTATGTGAAGATATTTCCCTTTTCACCATACCTGTCAAAGCACTCAAAATATCCCTTTGCAGATTCTCTGAAAAGACTGTTTCCAAACTTCTCAATCAAAAGAATGGTTCAACTCTGTGAAATGAATGCACACATCAAAAAGAAGTTTCTCTGAAATCTTCTGTCTAGTTTTTATGTGAAGATATTTCCCTTTTCACCATAGGCCTAAAGCCACTCACAAATATCCCTTTGCAGATTTTACAAGAACAGAGTTTCCAGACTCATCAAAGAATAGAAACTTTTATCTCTCTGAGATAAGTGCACATCTTACAGAACAGCTTCTCAGAAAAATTCTTTATAGTTTTTATTGAAGATATTTCCTTTTTCACCATAGGCGTCATAGAGCTGACAAATATCCCTTTGCAGAGTCTACAAAAAGTCTGTTTACAAACTGCTCAATCAAAAGAATGGTTCAACTCTGTGAGATAAATGCACTCATCACAAAGAGATTTCTCAGAAATCTTCTGTCTAGTTTTTATGTGAAGATATTTCCTTTCTCACCATAGGCCTCAAAGCACTCATAAATATCCCTTTGCAGATTCTACAAGTAGACAGTTTTCAAACTGCTCAGCAAAAAGACTGTTTCAACTCTGTGAGATGAATGCACACATGACAGGGGGGTTTCTCAGAGAACTTCTGTCTATTTATTATGTGAAGGTATTTCCTTTTTCACCAAAGGCCTCAAAGCACTCACAAATATCTCCTTGCTTTCTGAAATATCTCCATTCCTTCTGAAAATATTCCAATCAATAGAAAAAGAGGGAATCCTCCCTAACTCATTTGATGAGGCCAGCATCATCCTGATACCAAAGCCGGATAGACACAACCAAAAAAGAGCATTTCAGACCAATATCCTTGATGAACATTGATGCAAAATCCTCAATAAAATACTAGCAAACCGAATCCAGCAGCACATCAAAAAGCTTATCCACCATGATCAAGTGAGCTTCATCGCTGGGATGCTAGGCTGGTTCAGTATACACAAATCAATAAGTGTAATCCAGCATGTAAAGAGAACCAAAGACAAAAACCACATGATTATCTCAATAGATGCAGAAAAGGTCTTAGAAAAAATTCAACAACCCTTCATACTAAAAACTCTCTATAAATTAGGTATTGATGGAACATATCTCAAAATAATAAAAGCTATCTATCACAAACCCACAGCCAATATCATACTGAATGGGCAAAAACTGGAAGCGTTCCCTTTGAAAACAGGCACAAGACAGGGATGCCCTCTCTCACCACTCCTATTCAACATAGTGTTGGATGTTCTGGCCAGGACAATTAGGCAGGAGAAGGAAACAAAGGGTGTTCAGTTAGGAAAAGAGGAAGTCAAATTGTCTCTGCTTGCAGACGACATGATTGTATATCTAGAAAACCCCATTGTCTCAGCCCAAAATCTCCTTAAGCTGATAAGCAACTTCAGCAAAGTCTCAGGATACAAAATCAATGTACAAAAATCACAAACATTCTTATAGACCAACAACAGACAAACAGAGAGCCAAATCATGAGTGAACTCCCATTCACAATGGCTTCAAAGAGAATAAGATACCTAGGAATCCAACTTACAAGGAATGTGAAGGACCTCTTCAAGGAGAAGTACAAACCACTGCTCAAGGAAATAAAAGAGGATACAAATGGAAGAAAATTCCATGCTCATGGGTAGGAAGAATCAATATCGTGAAAATGGCCATACGGCCCAAGGTAATTTACAGATTCAATGCCATCCCCATCAAGCTACCAATGACTGTCTTCACAGAATTGGAAAAAACTACTTTAAAGTTCATATGGAACCAAAAATGAGCCTCCATTGCCAAGTCAATCCTAAGCCAAAAGAACAAAGCTGGAGGCATCACACTACCTGACTTCAAACTATACTACAAGACTACAGTAACCAAAACAGCATGGAACTGGTACCAAAACAGAGATATAGATCAAGGGAACAAAAAAGAGCCCTCAGAAATAAGGCCGCATATCTACAACTATCTGATCTTTGACAAACATGAGAAAAACAAGCAATGGGGAAAGGATTCCCTATTTAATAAATGGTGCTGGGAAAACTGGCTAGCCATATGCAGAAAGCTGAAACTGGATCCCTTCCTTAGACCTTATACAAAAATCAATTCAAGATGGATTAAAGATTTAAACATTAGACTTAAAACCATAAAAACCCTAGAAGAAAACCTAGGCATTACCATGCAGGACATATGCATGTGCAAGGACTTCATGTATAAAACACCAGAAGCAATAGCAACAAAAGCCAAAATTGACAAATCAGACCTAATTAAACTAAAGAACTTCTGCACAGCAAAAGGAACTATCATCAGAGTGAACAGGCAACCTACAAAATGGGAGAAAATTTTTGCAACCTACTCATCTGACAAAGGGCTAATTTCCAGAATCTACAATGAACACAAGCAAATTTACAAGAAAAAAAATAACAACACCATCAAAAAGTGAGCGAAGGACATGAACAGACACTTCTCAAAAGAAGACATTTATGCAACCAAAAAACACATGAAAAAATGCTCACCATCACTGGCCATCAGAGAAAAGCAAATCAAAACCACAATGAGATACCATCTCACACCAGTTAGAATGGCAATCATTAAAAAGTCAGGAAACAACAGGTGCTGGAGAGGATGTGGACAAATAGGAACACCTTTACACTGTTGGTGGGACTGTAAACTAGTTCAACCGTTGTGGAAGTCAGTGTGGCAATTCCTCAGGGATCTAGAACTAGAAATACCATTTGACCCAGCCATCCCATTACTGGGTATATACCCAAAGGACTATAAATCTTGCTGCTGTAAAGACACATGCACACGTATGTTTATTGCAGCATTATTCACAATAGCAAAGACTTGGAACCAACTCAAATGTCCAACAATGATAGACTGGATTAAGAAAATGTGGCACATATACACCATGGAATACTATGCAGCCATAAAAAATGATGAGTTCATGTCCTTTGTAGGGACATGGATGAAATTGGAAATCATCATTCTCAGTAAACTATCGCAAGAACAAAAAACCAAACACTGCATATTCTCACTCATAGGTGGGAATTGAACAATGAGAACACATGGACACAGGAAGGGGAACATCACACTCCGGGGACTGTTGTGGGGTGGGGGGAGGGGGGAGGGATTGCATTGGGAGATATACCTAATGCTAGATGACGAGTTAATGGGTGCAGCACACCAGCACGGCACATGTATCCATATGTAACTAACCTGCCCATTGTGCACATGTACCCTACAACTTAAAGTATAATAATAATAAATAAAAGAAAAAAAAACTACACAGAAGCATTCTGAGAAAGTATTTTGTGATGTGTGTATTCAACTCACAGTGTTGAACATACATTTTGATAGACCAGTTTTGAAACTCTGTTTTTGTAGAATCTGTAAGTGGATATTTGGAGCCTTTTGCAGCCTATGGTGGAAAAGGAAATATCTTCACATGAAAACAACACAGAAGCATTCTGAGAAACCTCTTTGTGATGTGTGCATTCATCTCACAGATTTTAATCTTTCATTTGATTGAGCAATTTTGAAACACTGTTTTTGTAGAATCTGCAAGTGGATATTTGGAGCGCTTTGAGGCTTATGTTGGAAAACGAAATATTTTCACATAAAAACCTCACAGAAGCATTCTGAAAAACTTCTTTGTGATGTGTGCATTATACTCTCAGAGTTGAACCTATCTTTTGATAGAGCAGTTTTGAAAGTCTCTTTTTGTAACGTCTGCAAGTTGATATTTGGAGCTGTTTACAGCCTAAGGTGGAAAAGGTAATATCTCCACATAAAAACTACACAGAAGCATGGTATTGGTGCGAAAACAGAGGTATTGATCAATGGAACAGAACAGGGCCCTCAGAAATAACGCTGCATATCTACAACTATCTGATCTTTGACAAACATGAGAAAAACAAGCAATGGGAACAGGATTCACTATTTAATAAATGGTGCTGGGAAAACTGGCTAGCCATATGTTGAAAGCTGAAACTGGATCCCTTCCTTACACCTTATACAAAAACTAATTCAAGACAGATTAAAGACTTAAACGTTAGACACAAAACCATAAAAACCCTAGGAGAAAACCTAGGCATTACCATTCAGGACATATGCATCACCAAAGACTTCATGTCTAAAACACCAAAAGCAATGGCAACAAAAGACAAAATTGACAAATGGGATCTAATTAAACTAAAGAGCTTCTGCACAGCAAAAGAAACTACCATCAGAGTGATCAGACAACCTACAAAATGGGAGAAAATTTTTGCAACCTACTCATCTGACAAAGGGCTAATATCCAGAATCTACAATGAACTCAAAAAAATTTACAAGAAAAAAACAAACAACCCCATCAAAAAGTGGGTGAAGGGCATGAACAGACACTTCTCAAAAGAAGACTTTTATGCAGCCAAAAAAAAAAAAAAACATGAAAAAACGCTCACCATCTCTGGCTATCAGAGAAATGCAAATCAAAACCACAATGAGATACCATCTCACACCAGTTAGAATGGCAATCATTAAAAAGTCAGGAAACAACAGGTGCTGTAGAGGATGTGGAGAAATAGGAACACTTTTACACTGTTGGTGGGACTGTAAACTAGTTCAGTCATCAACCATTGTGGAAGTCAGTGTGGTGATTCCTCAGGGATCTAGAGCTAGAAATGCCATTTGACCCAGCCATCCCATTACTGGGTATGTACCCAAAGGACTATAAATCATGCTGCTATAAAGACACATGAACATGTATGTTTACTGCGGCACTATGCACAACAGCAGAGACTTGGAACCAACCCAAATGTCCAACAATGATAGACTGGATTAAGAAAATGTGGCACATATACACCATGGAATACTATGCAGCCATAAAAAAGAATGAGTTCATGTCCTTTGTAGGGACATGGATGAAATTGCAAATCACCAGTCTCAGTAAACTATCACAAGAACAAAAAACCAAACACCGCATATTCTCACTCGTAGGTGGGAATTCCACAATGAGTACACATGGACACAGGAAGGGGAACTCTGGAGACTGTTGTGGGGTGGAGGGACGTGGAGGGATAGGTTTCGGAGATATACCTAATGCTAAATGACGAGTTAGTGGGTGCAGCGCACCAGCATGGCACATGTATACATGTGTAACCAAACTGCACATTGTGCACATGTACCCTAAAACTTAAAGTATAATAATAATAAAATAAAATTTAAAAACTACACAGAGCCATTCTGCGAAATTTCTTTGTGATGTGGGCATTCATCTCACAGAGTTGAAACTTTCATTTGATTGATCAGTTTTGAAACAATCTTTTTGTAGAATCTGCAAGTGGATATTAGGAGTGCTTTGAGGTCTATTGTGGAAAAGGAAATATCTTCACATAAAAACTACACGGAAGCATTCTGAGAAACTTCATCATGATACGTGCATTCAACTCTCAGAGTTGAACCCATCTTTTGATAGAGCAGTTTTGAAACTCACTTTTGTAGAGACTGCATGTGGATAGTTGTAGCGCTTTGAGGCCTATGTTGGAAAAGGAAATATCTTCACCTAAGAACTACACAGAAGCATTCTGAGAATCTCCTTTGTGATGTGTGCATTCATCTCACAGAGTTGAACCTATCTTTTGATAGAGCAGTTTTGCACTCTCTTTTTGTAGAATCTGCAAGTGGATAATTGGAGCCTTTTGCAGCCTATTTTGGAAAAGGAAATATCTTCACATAAAAATGACAGAGATGCATTCTGAGAAACCTCTTTATGCTGTGTGCATTCAATTCACAGAGTTGAAACTATCTTTTGATAGAGTAGTTTTGAAACCCTCTTTTTCTAGAATCTGGAAGTGGGTATTTAGAGCCCTTTGCGGCATAAGGTGGAAAAGGAAATATCTTTACATAAAAACTAGACAGATGCATTGTGAGAAATTTCTTTGTGATGTGTGCATTCATCTGACAGATTTGAGACTTTCATTTGATTGAGCAGTTTTGAAACACTCCTTTTGTATACTATGCAAGCGGATATTTGGAGCACATTGAGGCGTATTGTGGAAAAGAAAATATCTTCACATAAAAACTAGACAGAAGAATTCTGAGAAACTTCTTTGTGATGTGTGCATTCATCTCAAGAGTTGAATCTTTCTTCTGATTGAGCAGACTTGAAACACGCTTTTTATGGAATCTGCAAGTGGATATTTGAAGCGCTTTGAGGCCTGTGGTGGAAAAGGAAATATCTTAATATAAAAAATACACAGAATCATTCTCAGAAACTTCTTTGTTATGAGTACATTCAACTCACAGAGTTGAAACTGTCTTTGAATAGAGCAGTTTAGAAACTCTCTTTTTTTAGACTCTGCAATTGGATATTTGGAGCCCTTTACAGCCAACGGTGGAAAAGGAAATATCTTCACATAATAACTACACAGAAGCATTCTGGGAAACTTCTTTGTGATGTGTGCATTCTTCTCACATGGTTGAAACTTTCTTTTGATTGAGCAGTTTTGAAACACTCTTTTTGTATATTATGCAAGTGGATATTTGGAGCGCTTTGAGGCCTATTGTGGAAATGAAAATATCTTCACATAAAAACTTGACAGAAGCATTCTGAGAAACTTCTTCGTGATGTGTGCGTTCATCTCACAGACTTGAATATTTCTTCAGATTGAGCAGTCTTGAAACACGCTTTTTATGGAATCTACAAGTGGATATTTGAAGCGCTTTGAGGCCTATTGTGGAAAAGGAAATATCTTCACATAAAAACTACACAGAAGCATTCTGAGAAACTTATTTGTGATGTGTGCATTCATCTCACAGAATTGAACTTCTCTTTCGATTGAGCAGTTTTGAAACACTCTTTTTGTAGAATCTACAGTTGGATATTTGGAGCATTTTGAGGACTCTTGTGGAAAAGGAAGTATCTCCACATAAAAACCACACAGAAGCATTCTGAGAAACTTCTTCTGATGTGTGCATTCATATCACAGAGTTGAACCCTTCTTTTGTTTGAGCAGTTTCGAGACACTCTTTTTGTAGAATATGCAAGTGGATATTTGGAGCATTTTGAGTCCTATGGTGGAAAAAGAAATACCTTCACATAAAAACTAACAGAAGCATTCTGAGAAACTTCTTTGTGATGTATGCATTCATCTCACAGCATTGAGATTATCTTTTGATTGAGCAGTTTTGAATCTCCCTTTTGGTAGAATCTGCAAGTGGATATTTGGAGACCTTTGTGACCGATGGTGGAAAAGGAAATATCTTCCTATGAAAACTACACAGAAGCAAACTGAGAAACTTCTTTGTTACGTTGGCATTCATTTCACAGAGTTGAAATTTTCATTAGATTGAGCAGTTTTGAAACAGTCTTTTTGTAGAATCTGCAAGTGGATATTTGGAGTGCTTTGAGGCGTATTGTGGAAAAGGAAATGTCTCCAAAGAAAAACTACACAGAAGCATTCTCAGAAACTATTTTGAGATTTGTGCATTCATCTCACAGAGTTGAACATTTCTTTTGATTTAGCAGCTGGAAACAGTTTTTGTAGAATCTCCAAGTGGATATTTGTAACACATTGAGGCCTATTGTGGAAAAGGAAATATTTTCACATAAAAACTACACAGAAGAATTCTGAGAAACTTCTTTGTGATGTGTGCATTCATCTCACAGAGGTGAACCTTTCTTTTGATGGAGCAGTTTTGAAACACTCCTTTTACAGAATATTCAAGTGGATATTTGGAGCGCTTTGAGACCTATGCTGGAAAAGAAAGTATCTTCACATAAAAACTACACAGAAGCATACTGAGAAACTACTTTGTGATGTGTGCATTCATGTCACAGAGTTTAACTTTTCCTTTGATAGAGCAGTTTTGAAACTCTCTTTTTTTAGAATCTGCAAGTGGATATTTAGAGCCCTTTTTGGCCTATGGTGGAAAAGGAAATATCTTCACATAAAAACTACACAGATGCACTCTGAGAAATTTCTTCATGATGTGTTCATTCATCTCACAGAGTTGAACCATTCTTTTGATTGAGCAGTTTTGAAACACTCTTTATGTACAATGTGCAAGTGGATATTTGGAGCGCTTTGAGACCTATGGTGGAAAAGGAAATATCTTCACTAAAAACAGCACAAAACTTTCTCAGAAACTTCTTTGTGATGTGTGCATTCAACTCACAGAGTTGTACCTATCTTTTGATAGAGCAGTTTTGAAACTCTCTTTTTGTGGAAAGTGCAAGTGGATATTTGGAGCCCTTTGTGGCCTACGGTGGAAAAGGAAATATCTTCACATGAAAACTACAAAGAGGCATTCTGAGAAACTTGTTTGTGATGTGGGCATTCATCTCACAGAGTTGAACCTTTCTTTTGATTGAGGAGTTTTGAAACACTCTTTTTGTAGGAACTGCAAGTGGATATTTGGAGCACTTTGAGAACTATGGTGAAAAGGAAATATCTTCACATAAAAAACTACACAGAGGCAATCTGAGAAACTTCTTTGTGATGTGTCCATTCATCTCACAGAGATGAACCTTTCATTTGAATGAGGAGTTTTGAAACAGTCTTTTTGTAGAACCTGCAAGTGGATATTTGGAGGGATTTGAAGCCTAATGTTGAAAAAGAAATATCTTCACATAATAACTACACAGAAGCATTCTGAGAAACGTCTTTGTGATGTGTGCATTCATCTCACATAATTGAACCTATCTTTTGATTGAGCAGTTTGGAAACACTCTTTTTGTAGTATCTGCAAGTCGATAATTGGAGGGCTTTGAGGCCTATGGTGGAAAAGGAAATATCTTCACATAAAAACTACACCAAAGCATTCTCAGAAACTTCTTTGTGATGTGTTCATTCGACTCACAGAGTTCAACCTAACTTTTCAAAGAGCAGTTTTGAAACTCTCTTTTTATAGAATCTGCAATTGGATATTTGGAGACATTTGCACCCTATGGTGGAAAAGGACATATCTTCACTTAAAAACTACACAGAAACTTCCTGAGAAACTTCCTTGTGATATGTCTATTCAACTCGCAGAGTTGAACCTATCTCTTGATAGAGAAGTTTTGAAAGTCTTTTTTTAGGGAATCTGCAAGTGGATATTTGGATCCCTTTGTGGCCTATGGTGGAAAAGGAAATATCTTCACATAAAAACTTCACAGAAGCATCCTGAGAAACTTCTTTGTGATGTGTGCATTCATCTCACAGAGTTGAACCTATCTTTTGATTGTGCAGTTTCCAAACAATCTTCATGTAGAATCTGCAAGTGGATATTTGGAGCCCTATGAAGCCAATGCTGGAAAAGGAAATGTTTTCACATAAAAACTGCACAGAAGCATTCTGAGAAATTTGTTTGTGATGTATGCATTCAACTCTTGGAGTTGAACTTATCTTTTGATAGAGCAGTTTTGAAACTCTCTTTTTGTAGAAACTGCATGTGATTATTTGGAGCCCTTTGTGGATAATGATGGAAAATGAAATATCTTCCCATAAAACTACACAGAAGAATTTTGAGAAGCTTCTTTGAATGTGTGCATTCATCTCACAGAGTTGAACATTTCATTTGATTGAGGAGTTTTGAAACTCTCTTTTTGTAGAATCTGCAAGTGGATATTTAGAGAACTTTGAGGTCTATTGTGGAAAAGGAAATATCTTCACATAAAAACTACACAGAAGCATTCTCAGAAACTACTTTGTCATGTGTGCATTCGTCTCACAGAGTGGAACTCTTCTTTTGATAGAGCAGTTTGGAAACGCTCTTTTAGTACTATCTGGAAGTGGATATTTGGAGCGCTTTGAGGCTTATGGTGGAAAAGGAAAGATCTTCACTTAAAAACTATACAGAAGCATTCTGATAAACTACTTTGTTATGTGTGGATTCAACTCACAGAGTTGAACCTATCTTTTGATTGAGCCATTTTGAATCTCTCTTTTTGTAGAATCTGCAAGTGGATATTTGGACCTCTTTCCAGCCTATTTTGTAAAAGGAAATATCTTCACATATAAACTACACAGAAGCATTCTCAGAAACTTCTTTGTGATATGTGTATTGAAATCATCGAGTTCAACCTATCTTTTGATTGAGCAGTTTTGAGTCTCTGTTTTTGTGGTATCTGCAAGTGGCTATTTAGAGCCCTTTGCGGCCTCTGGTGGAAAAAAAATATCTTCACATAAAAACTACACAGAAGCGTTCTGAGAAACTACTTTGTGATGTGTGCATTCATCTCACAGGGTTGAACCTTTCTTTTGATTCAGCAGTTTTGAAACACTCTTTTTATAGACTCTGCAAGTGGATATTTGAAGAGCTTTGAGTCCTATCGTGGAAAAAGAAATATCTTCACATAAATACTAAACAGAAGCATTCTGAGAAACTTCTTTGTGATGTGTGCATTCACCTCACAGAGTTCAAACTTTCATTTCATTGAGCAGTTTTGAAACACTCTTTTTGTAGAATCTGCAAGTGGATATTAGGAGCACTTTGAGGACTATGGTGGAAAAGGAAATATCTTCACTTAAAAACTATACAGAAGCATTCTGATAAACTACTTCGTTATGTGTGGATTCAACTCACAGTGTTGAACCTATCTTTTGATTGAGCCATTTTGAATCTCTCTTTTTGTAGAATCTGCGAGTGGATATTTGGAGCTCTTTCCGGCCTATATTGTAAAAGGAAATATCTTCACATGTAAACTACACAGTAGCATTCTGAGAAACTTCTTGGT
This sequence comes from Homo sapiens, assembly GCF_000001405.40. Lineage (NCBI taxonomy): Eukaryota > Metazoa > Chordata > Mammalia > Primates > Hominidae > Homo > Homo sapiens. The sequence goes on from NC_000020.11 coordinate 29,260,841, forward strand.
GTTGTGTGCAATCATCTCACTGAGTTGAACCTTTCTTTTGATTGAGCAGTTTTGAAACACTCTTTTTATAGTATCTGCAAGTGGATATTTGAATTGCTTTGAGACCTATTGTGGAAAAGAAAGTATCCTCACATAAAAACTGCACAAAAACATTCTGAGAAACTTCTTCTGATGTGTGCATTCATCTCAAAGAGTTGAAACTTTCTTTTGTTTGAGCAGTTTCGAGACGCTCTTTTTGTAGAATATGCAAGTTGATATTTGGAGCGTTTTGAGGCCCATGGTGGAAAAAGTAATATCTTAACATAAAAACTAATGGAAGCATTCTGAGAAACTTCTTTGTGATGTATGCATTCATCTAACAGAGCTGAACATTTCTTTTGACTGAGCAGTTTTGCATCACTCTTTTTGAAGAATCTGCAAGTGGATCTTTGGAGCGCTTTGTGGCCTGTAGTAGAAAAGGAAATATCTTCACATAAAAAGTAGACAGAAGCATTCTTAGGAACTACATTGTTATGTGTGAATTCATCTTACAGAGTTGAACCTTTCTTTTGATTGAGCAGTTTTGAAACACTATTTTTGTAGAATCTGCAAGTGGATATTTGGTGTGCTTTGAGCCCTATGGTGGAAAAGGAAGTATCTTCACATAAATCTAGACAGAAGCATTCTGAGAAACTTCTTTGTGGTGTCTGCCTGACACACAGGGTTGAACCTTCCTTTTGGTTGAAAAGTTTCGATACAGTCTTTTTGTAGAATCTGCAAGTGGGTATTTGGAGAGCTTTGCGTCCACCAGTGGAAAAGGAAATATCTTCACATAAAAACTATACAGAAGCATTCTGAGAAACTTCTTTGTGATGTGTGCATTCATCTCACAGAGGTGAACATTTCTTTTAAATGAACAGTTTTGAGACACTCTTTTTGTACAATCTGCAAGTGGATATTTGGAGCACTTTGAGGCCCTTAGTGGAAAAGGAAATATCTTCACATAAAAACTAGACAGATCATTCTGAGAAACTTCTTTGTGATGTGTGCGTTCATCTCACAGAGTTGTACATTTCTTTTGATGGAGCAGTTTTGAAACACTCTCTTTGTAGAACCTGCAAGAGGATATTTGGAGCGCTTTGTGGCCTATGGTGGAAAAGGAAATATCTTCCCATAAAAACCAGACAGAAGCATTCTGAGAAACTTCTTTGTGATGTGTGCATTCATTACACAAAGGTGAAACTTTCTTTTGATTGAGCAGTTTGCAACACTACTTTTCTAGAGTCTGGTATTGGATATTTGGAGCGATTTGCAGCCTATGGTGTAAAAGAAAATATCTTCACATAAAAAGTAGATAGAAGCATTCTGAGAAACTTCTTTGTGATGTGTGCATTCATCCCACAGTGTTTAACCTATCTTTTGATTGAGCAGTTTGGAAACCTTCTTTTGGAGAATCTGTAAATGGATATTTGAAGGGTTTTGAGGACTATGGTGGAAAAGGAAATATCTTTACATAAAAACTAGGCAGAAGCATTCTGTGAAACTTCCTTGTAATGTACGCATTCATCGCACAAAGTTGAACCTTTGTTTTAATTGAGCAGTTAAGAAACACTCTTTTTGTAGAATCTGCAAGTGGATATTTGGCATGATTTGCAGCCTATGGCATAAAAGGCAATACCTTCATATAAAAACTAGACAGAAGTATTCTGGGAAACTTCTTTGTGATGTGTGAATTCATCTCACAGAGTTGAACCTGTCTTTTTATTGAGCAGTTTTGAAACACTCTTTTTGTGGAATCTGCAAGTGAATATTTGGAGCATTTTGAGGCCTATGGTGGAAAAGGAAATATCTTCACATAAAAACTAGACAGAAGCACTCTGAGAAACTACTTTGTGATGTGTGCATGCATCTCACAGAGTTGAGTCTTTCTTTTGATTGAGCAGTTTTGAAACACTCTTTTGTAGAAACTGCCAGTAGATATTTGGGATGCTTAGTGGCCTATGGTGAAAAGGGAAATATCTTCACACAAAAACAGAAGCATTCTGAGAAACTACTTTGTGATGTATACATTCATCTCACAGAGTTGAACCTTTCTTTTGATTGAGCAGTTTTGAAAAACTCTTGATGTAGAATCTGCAAGTGTGTATTTGGAGCACTTTGCAGCCTATGGTAGAAAAGGAACTATCTTCGCATAAAAACTAGGCAGAAACATTCTGAGAAACCTCTTTGTGATGTGTGCATTCATCTCACAGAGTTGAACCTTTCTTTTAATTGAACAGTTTTGAAACACTCTTTTTGTGGAATCTGCAATTGGATATATGGAGCGCTTTGAGGCCTATGGTTGAAAAGCATTATCTTCACATAAAAACGTCACAGAAGAATTCTGAGAAACTTCTCTGTGAGGTGTGCATTCATCTCGCAGAGTTGAACCTTTCTTTTCATTGAGCAGTTTTGAAACCCTCTGTTTGTAGAATCTACAAGTGGAGATTTAGAGTTCTTTGAGTCCTATGGTGGAAAAGGAAATATCTTCACATAAAAACTAGACAGAAGCATTCTGAGATACATCTTTGTGATGTGTGCATTCATCTCATAGTGTTAAACCTTTCTTTTGATGGTTCAGTTTTGAAACACTCTTTTTGTAGAATCTGCAAGTGTATATTTGGAGCACTTTGCGGCCAATGGTGGAAAAGGAAATACCTTCACATAAAAACTAGACAGAAGCATTCTCAGAAACTTCTTTGTGATGTGTGCGTTCATCTCACAGAATTCAACCTTGCTTTTTTTGAGCAGGTTGGAAACACTTTTTTTTAGTATCTGCTAGCAGATAATTGGAGTGGTTTGGGGCCTATGGTGGAAAAGGAAATATCGTCACATAAAAGCTAGACAGAAGCATTCCGAGTAACTTCTTTGTGATGCGTGCATTCATCTCACAGAGTTGTACCTTTCTTTTGATTGAGCAGTTTTGAAACACACTTTTTGTGGAATCTGCAAATGTATATTTGGAGCGCTTTGCAGCCTATGGGGGAAAAGGAAATATTTTCGTATAAATGCTAGACAGAAGCACTCTGAGAAACTGTATTGTGATGTATGCATTCATCTCACAGAGGTGAAACTTCCTTTTGATTGAGTAGTTTTGAAACACTCTTTTTGTACAATCTGCAAGTGGGTATTTGGAGCCCTTTGTGGTATGTGGTGGAAAAGGAAATATCTTCACATAAAAACTAGACAGAAGCATTCTGAGAAACTTCTGTGTGATGCGTGCATTCATCTCACAGAGTTGAACCTTTCTTTTCATTGAACAGTTTTGAAACTCTGTTTTTGAAGTATCTGCATGGGGATATTTGGGGCTCTTTGAGGTCTTTGGTGGAAAAGGAAATATCTTCACATAAAAACTAGACAGAAGCATTCTGAGAAAGTTCTTTGTGATGTGTGCGTTCATCTCAAAGAGTTGAAAAATTCTTTTGATAGAGCAGTTTTGAAACACTCCTTTTGTAGAATCTGCAAGTGGATATTTGGAGCTCTTTGGGGCCTATGGTGGAAAAGGAAATATCTTCACGTAAAAACTAGACAGAAGGATTCTGAGAAACTACTTTGTTATGTGTGCATTCATCTCAAAGTGTTGAATCTTTCTTTCGATTGAGCAGTTTTGAAACACTCCTTTTGTAGAATGTGAAAGTGGATATTTGGAGCACTTTGTGGACTATTGTGGAAAAGGAAATATCTTCACATAAAAACAAGACAGAAGCATTCTGAGGAACTTCTTTGTTATGTCTGCATTGAACTCATAGAGTTGAAACTTTCTTTTGACTGAGCAGTTTTGAAACACTCTTTTTGTAGAATCTACAAGTGGATATTTGGAGTGGTTTTTGGCCTAAGGTGGAAAAGGAAATATCTTCACATAAAAACTAGACAGAAGCATTCTGAGAAACTTCTTTTTGATGTGTGCATTCATCTCACCGAGTTGAAAATTTCTTTTGATTCAGTACTTTTGAAGCACTCTTTTTGTAGAATCTGCAAGTGAATATTTGGAGACCTTAGCGGCCTATGGTGGAAAAGAAAATATCTTCAAATAAAAACTAGACAGCACCATTCTGAGAAATTCTTTGTGATGTGTCCATTCGTGTCATAGAGTTGAATCTTTCTTTTGATTGAGCAGTTTTGAAACACACTTTTTGTATAATCCGCAAGTGAATATTTGGAGCGCTTTGCGGTCTATGGTAGAAAAGAAAATATCTTCAAAGAAAAACTAGACAGAAGCATTCTGACAAACTTGTTTGTGATGTGTGCATTTATCTCACAGAGTTGAGCCTTTCTTTTGATTGAGCAGTTTGGAAACACTCTTTTTGTAGAAACTCCAAATTGGTATTTGGAGTGCTTTGAGGTCTATGGTGGCAAAGGAAATATCTTCACATAAAAACTAGATGGAAGCATTCTGAGAAACCTCTTTGTGCTGTGAGCATTCATCTCACAGAGTGGAATGCTTCTTTTGATTGAGCAGTTTTGAAACACTCTTTTTGTACAATCTGCAAGTGTATATTTGGAGCACTTTGAGGCCTATCTTGGAAATGGAAATATCTTCACATAAAAACTAGACAGAAACATTCGGACAAACATCTTTTTGATGTGTGCATTCATCTCACAGAGTTGAACCTTTTTTTTTAACTGAGCAGTTTTGAACCATTATTTTTGTAGAATCTGCAACTGGATGTTTGGAGCACTTTGCTGTCTATGGTGGAAACGGAAATATCTTCACATAGAAACTAGACAGAAGCATTCTGAGAAACTTCTTTCTCATGTATACATTCATCTCATAGAGTTGAACCTTTCTTTTGATTGAGCGCATTGAGGACTGTGGTGGAAAAGGAAGTATCTTCACATAAAAACTTGACAGAAGAATTCTGAGAAACTTCTTTTTGATTTGTGCCTTCATCTTACCGAGTTGAACCCTTCTTTTGATTGAGCAGTTCTGAAATAGTCCTTTTGTAGAATCCGCAAGTATATGTTTGCAGCACCTTGTTGCCTATGGTGGAAAAGGAAATATCTTCATATAAAAATTCAACAGCAACATTCTGAGAATCTTCTTTGTGATGTCTGCATTCATCTCATAGAGTTGAACCTTTTTTTTTTTAATTGAGTAGTGTTGAAACACTCTTTTTGTACAATCTGCAAGTGGATATTTGGAGCACTTTGAGGCCTATGGTGGAAAAGGAAATATCTTCACATAAAAATTAGACAGAAGCATTCTGAGAAACTTCTTTGTGATGTGTGCATTAAACTCACAACGCTGAACCTTTCTTTTGATTGTGCAGTTTTTAAACACGGTTTTTGTGGTATCTGCAAGTGGATATTTTGCGTGATTTGTGACCTTTACTGGAAAAGGAAATATCTTCACAGAAAAACTAGACAGAAGCATTCTGAGAAACTTATTTGTGATGTGTGCATTCATGTCACAGAGTTGAAGCTTTATTTTAATTAAGCAGTTTTGAAACACTCTTTTTGTAGAATCTGCAGGTGGATATTTGGAGCACTTTGAGGCCTATGGTGGAAAACGAAATATCTTTAAATAAAAATTAGACAGAACCATTCTGAGAAATTTCTTTTTGATGTGTGCATTCAACTCACAGAGTTGAACCTTTCTATTGATTGAACAGTTTTGAAGCACTCTTTTTGTAGAATCTGTAAGTGGATATTTGGAGCGCTTTGAGGCCTATGTTGGAAAAGGAAATATCTTCACGTAAAAATTAGACCGAAGGATTCTGAGAAACTTCTTTGTGATGTGTTTGCTCTTCTCACAGAGTTGAACATTTCTTTTGATTGATCAGTTTTGAAACACTCTTTTTGTAGAATCTGCATCTGGATGTTTGGAGCACTTTGGGGCCCATGGTGGAAAAGGAAATATCTTCACATAAAAACTACACAGAAGCAATCTGAGAAACTTCTTTGTGATGTGTGCATTCAACTCACAGAGTTGAACCTTTGTTTTGAATGATCAGTTTTGAAACACTCTTTTTGTAATACTTAAAAATGGATATTTGGAGTGGATTGAGGCATACGGTGGAAAAGGACATATCTTCACATAAATAATAGAAGCATTCTGAGAAACTTATTTGCGATGAGTGTATTCAACTCACAGAGTTGAAACTTTCTTTTGATTGAGCAGTTTTGAAACACTCTTTTTGTCAAATCTGCAGGTGGATATTTTGAGAGCTTTGAGGCCTATGGTGCGAAAGGAAATATCTCCACATAAAAATTAGACAGAAGCATTCTGAGAAACTTCTTTATGATCTGTGCATTCATCTCACAAAGTTGAAACTTTCTTTTGATTAGACAGTTTGGAATCAGTGTTTTTGTAGAATCTGCAGGTGGATATTTGGAGCGCTTTGAGACCTATGGTGAAAAGGAAATATCTTCACATAAAAAATAGACAGAAGCAATCTGAGAAACTTCTTTGTCATGTATGCCTTCATTTCACAGACTTGAACCTTTGTGTTGATTGCGCAGTTTGGCAACAATCGTTTTGTAGACTCTGTAGAGGGATATTTTCCAGACCACTGAGGCCTCTGGAGAAATAGGAAATATCTTCAGATAAGAAATAGACAGAAACATTCTGAGAAACTTCCTTCTGATGTGTGCATTCATCTCACAGAGTTGAACTTTTCTTTTGATTGAGCAGTTTGGAAACAGTCTTTCTGTACTATCTGCAAATGGATATTTGGAGTGCTTTGAGGCATACGTTGAAAAAGGAAATATATTCACATAAAAACTTGACAGAAGTATTCTGAGGAACTTCTTTTTTATGTGTGCATTCATTTCACAGAGTTGAACCTTTCTTTTGATTGAGCAGTTTTGAAACACTCTTCTTGTAGTATCTGCAAGTGGATATTTGTAGCATTTTGGGGCCTATAGAGGAAAAGGATATATCTTCAGATGAAACCTAGACAGAAGCATTCTGAGAAACTTCTCTGTGATTTTTGCATTCATCTCACAGAGTTGAACCTTTTTTTTGATTGAGCAGTTTGGAAACCCTCTTTTTATAGAATCTGCATGGGTATATTTGGAGCGCTTTGTGGCCTATAGTGGAAAAGGAAAAAACTTCACATAAAAACTAGACAGAAGCATTCTGAGTAACTTCTTGTGACTTGTGCATTCATCTCACAGAGTTGAATCTTTCTTTTGATTGAGCAGTTTGGAAACCATCCTCTTGTAGAATCTGCAAGTGTATATTTGGAGCGCTTTGTGGACTACAGTGGAAAGGGTAATATCTTCACATTAAAACTAGACAGAAGCATTATGAGAAACTTGTTTATGATGTGTGCATTCATATCACAGAGGTAAACCTTTCTTTTGATTGAGCAGTTTGGAAACAGTCATTTTGTACAATCTGCAAAGGGATATTTGAGAAACCCATTGAGGCCTCTGGGGCAATAGGAAATATCTTCATGTAAAAACTAGAGAGAAACTTTCTGAGAAACTTCTTTGTGATGTGTACGTTCATCTCAGAGTTGAACCTTTCTTTTGATTGAGAAGTTTTGAAACACTCTTTTTATAGAATCTGCAAGTGGATATTTGGAGTGCTTTGCAGCCTATAGTTGAAAAGGAAATATCATCACTTAAAAACTAGACAGAAGCATTCTGAGAAGCTTCTTTGTGATGTGTGCATTCACCTCACAGAGTTGAACCTTTCTCTTGATTGAGCTGTTTTGAAACACACTTTTTGTAGAATCTGCAAGTGGATATTTGTTGTGCTTTGGGGCCTATGGTGGAAAAGGGAATATCTTCACATAAAAACTAGACAGAAGCAATCTGAGTAACTTCTTTGTGCTGTGTGCATTACACTCACAGAGTTGAAACTTTCTTTTGTTTGAGCAGTGTTGAAACACTCTTTTTGTAGAATCTGAAATTGGATATTTGGAGCGCTTTGCGGACTCTGGTTGAAAAGGAAATATCTTCACATAAAAACTCGACATAAACATTCTGAGAAACTGCTTTGTGATGTCTGCATTCATCTCACTGAGTTCAAACTTTCTTTTGATTGACCAGCTTTGAAATACTCTTCTTGTAGTATCTGTAAGTGGAAATTTGTTGCAATTTGAAGCCTTTGTTGGAAAAGGAAATATCTTCATGTGAAAACTAGACAGAAGCATTCTGAGAAACCTCTTAGTGATGTGTGCATTCATCTCAGAGTGTTGAACCACACTTTGATTGAGCAGTTTGGAAACAGTCTTTTTGTAGTATCTGTATGTGGATATTTGGAGTGCTTTGATGCCTATGGTGGAAAAGGAAACATTTTAACATAAAAATTAGACAGAAGCATTCTGAGAAACTTCTTTGTGTTGTTTGCCTTCATCTCTCAGATTTGAAGCTTTCCTTTGATTGAGCAGTTTTGCAACACTCTTTTTGTAGAATCTGCTAGTGGATATTTGGAGCGCTGTGAGGCCTATGGTAGAAAAGGTCATAACTTCACATAAGAACTGTAAAACAGGCTTCCTAAAAACAGCCTTGTGATGTGTGCAGTCATCTCACAGAGGTAAGCAGTTCTTTTCTCTGATCAGTCTGGAAACTCTGTTCTTGTACAATCTGAAAAGGGGTATTTTTGAGCACTTTGAGGCCTATGTTGACAAAGGAAATATCTTCACAAACAAAGTGTAAAGAAATTTTCTGAGATACTTCTTTGTGATATGTGCATTCATCTCACAGATTTGACCCTCTCTTTTGCTTCAGCAGTTTTGGAAACAGCATTTTTGCAGAATCTGCCAATGGATATTTGTGAGCACTTTGAGGCCTATGCAGAAAAAGAAATATCTTCACAGAAAACTATAAAGAAGGTTTCTGAGAAACTGTTTTGTGATGTCTGCATTCATCTCACAGAGGTAATCAATTCTTTTCTTTGATCAGTTGGGAAACTCTGTTGTTTTAGAATCTGCTAAGGGATATTTGTGAGTGCATAGAGCCCTGTGGTGAAAAAGGAATTGTCTTCACATAAAAACTAGACAGAACCCTACTGAGAAACTTTTTGGTGATGTATGCATTCATCTCACAGAATTGAAACTTTCTTTTGATTGAGCAGTTTAGAAACGTCTTTTTGTGGAATCTGTAAAGGGATATTTCTGAGCACTTTGAGGCCTATGGTGAAAGAGAAAATATCTTCACATAAAAACCAGACTAAAGAATTCTGAGAAACTGCTTTGTGATGTATGCATTCATCTCACAGAGTTCAACAATTCTTTTGATTGAGCAGTTGGGAAACCATCTTTTTGTAGAACCTGCAAAGGTATATTTGTGAGTGCTTTGAGGTCTAAGGGTAAAAGGAAATATCTTTACATAAAAAGTATAAAGAAGGTTTGTGAACAACTTCTTTGTGATGTGTGCATTCATCTCACAGAGTTGAAACATTCTTTGACTCAGCAGTTTGGAAACAGTCTTTTTTTAAGATCTGCAAAGGGATATTTTCGAGCACTTTGAGTACCATGGTGAAAAAGGAAACTCATTCACATAAAAACAAGATAAAAGCTTTCTGAGAAACATCTTTTTGATATATGCATTCATCCCACAGAGGTGAAACTTTCTTTTGATGAGCAGTTTGTAAACAGTATTTTGTAGAATTTCCAAATGGTTATTAGTTAGTGCTTTGTGTCCTATGTTGAAAAAGGAATTATATTTGCATAAATACTAGACAGAATATTTCTGAGAAACTGCTTTGTGATGTGTGCTTTCATCTCACAGAGGTAACCATTTCTCTTCATTGAGCAGATTGGAAATTCCGTTCTTGAAAATCTGCAAAGGGATATTTTTCAGTGCTTTGAGGCATATGATGAAAAAGGAATTATCTTCACGTAAAAACTAGACAGAAGTTTTCTGTGAAACACCTTGGAGATGTGAGAATTCATCTCACAGAGTTGAAACATTCTTTTGATTGAGCAGTTTGTAAACAATATTTTTTAGAATCTGCAAAGGGATATTTGTGATGCTTTGACCCCTATGGTGAAAAAGGAAATATTTTCACATGAAAACTAGAAAGAAGCTTTCTGAGAAACCTCCTTGTGATGTGTGCATTCATCTCATAGATTTGAACCTTTCTTTGGATTGAGCAATTTGGATACAGTATTTTTGTAGAATCTGTAAAGACATATTTTTGAGACCTATGAGGCCTATGATGTAATAGGAAATATCTTCACATAAAAACTAGACAGAAGCTTTCTGAGAAACTTCTTTGTGATGTGTGCATTCATCTCATAGAGTTCAACCATTCTTTTGATTGAACAGTTTGGAAATAGTCTTTTTGTAGAATCTGCAAAGGGATATTTATGAGTCCTTTGAGGCATATGGTAAAAAAGAAAATATATTCACATAAAAAGTATAAACAAAGTTTCTCAGAAACAGCTTTGTGATGTATGCATTCATCTCACAGAGGTAAACGTTTCTTTTCTCTGGTCAGTCTGGAAACTGTTCTTGTAGAGTCTGCAAAGGGATATTTGTGAGTGCTTTGAGGCCTATGGTGAAAAAGAAAATATATTCACATAAAAAGTATAAACAAAGTTTCTCAGAAACAGCTTTGTGATGTATGCATTCATCTCACAGAAGTAAACGTTTCTTTTCTCTGGTCAGTCTGGAAACTGTTCTTGTAGAGTCTGCAAAGGGATATTTGTGAGTGCTTTGAGGCCTATGGTGAAAAAGGAAATATCTTCACATAAAAATAGAGAGAGGCTTTCTGAGAAACCTCTTTGTGA